>NC_000005.10:181026922-181177367 GCF_000001405.40 Homo sapiens
CAGAGTAACCACAAAGAAAAAATTACAGCAGATACACAAATGAAAAGTAAAAGGAATCAAAGCTTATCACTACAGAAAACCAACAAATCGCAAATGGAACTAATAAAAAGAAACAAAGGATCTATAAAACAATCAGAAATTAACAAAATGGCTGGGGCAAGTTCTTACCTATCAATAATAACCTTGAATATAAATGGATTAAATGCTTCAATTAAAAGATATAGAGTGGGCCGGGCGCGGTGGCTCACGCCTATAATCCCAGCACTTTGGGAGGCTGAGGTGGGCGGATCACGAGGTCAGGAGATGGAGACCATCCTGGCTAACACGGTGAAACCCTGACTCTACTAAAAATACCAAAAATTAGCCGGGGTGGCAGGCACCTGTAGTCCCAGCTACTCGGGAGGCTGAGGCAGGAGAATGGCGTGAACCCGGGAGGCGGAGCTTGCAGTGAGCCGAGATCACGCCACTGCACTCCAGCCTGGGCGACAGAGCGAGACTCCGTCTCAAAAAAAAAAAAAAAAAAAAAAAAGATATAGAGTGGCTGAAAGGATTTTTTTTTAAAAAAGATCCAACTATATGCTGCCCACAAAAAACTCACATCACCTGTAAGGACACATATAAATGAAAAATGAAGGAATGGAAAATAATATTCCACATAAGTGGGAAACAAGAATAGGAGTAGCTAAGTTCACGTAAGATAAAAAGAGACAAAGTCATTATATAATAATAGAGGTCAATTCAACAAGTATAACAATAGTAAATACATGTACACCCAACAGTGAAGCAAATAAGCAATCATTATTAAATTTAAAAAGAGATGGCAATAATACAGTACTACGATACAATAATAGTGAAACGGGGAAAACGCCCCTTGTCCCCAAAGCAGGGCTTGTGGCTCACTCCTTCAGTGCCCCGCTGCTCATACCTCTAAGGGAGCATATGAGACGGGCAGGCTGTGGGGCTCCGAACCCAGGCAGTGTCTAGAGGTGAACGCTTACAGCTCCGGAAGCCCCAGTGGACGTGTGTTAGAGGGTGTTCTTTTAGTTTTGCAGTCTATATAGGCGGCTTGTGTTAACCAGCTCAACTTGGAGTGGGAAGGTTTTCCCCTGGAGTCAGGCCACTCAGCGTCCTGGGCTCATTTCCAACTGCCCCAGCAAAACTCTGCATCACTGTGCTTCTGCTGGTCACTGGCCTTCCGCGCCAGTTTCTCCAGACGTCCACCCCACCTGTGTGTCTGCCTGCTGGGGTCTGGGAGGTTTATAGGCACAGGTTGGGGGCGTGGCAGGCCAGGGTGGTCTTGGGAAACGCAACATGTGGGCAGGAAACGCCTGTCCACACCTAGATCCTTAGGGGTGGAGCCCTAGTCACGCCCTCCTCTACCCAGCGCTTCCCTTCCCCCTTCCGTATCATTTAAAGGGACCATGCTCTTCCCTTCCCAGCACTTCCCTTCAGTCTCAATAGCGGGAGACTTCAGCATCACGCTCTTAGCAATGGCCAGATCATCAGACAGGATACAAACAAAGAAACATCAGATTTAAACCACACACTAGACTAAATGAACCTATCAGACATTTACAGAACGTGCCGCTCAAGGCCGGGCGCGGTGGTGCATGCCTATAATCCCAGCACTTTGGGAGGCTGAGGCAGGCGGATCATTAGAGCCCAGGAGTTAGAGACAAACCTGGCCAACATGGCGAAACCCCGTCTCTACTAAAAATACAAAAATCAGTTGGGCATGGTGGCGCACTGCTGTCATCCCAGTTACTTGAGTGGCTGAGGCACGAGAATCGCCTGAACTTGAAAGATGGAGGTTGCAGCGAGCCAAGATCGCACCACTGCACTCCACCATGGACGACAAAGCAAGATTCTGTCTCAAACAAACAGACAAAAAAATGACACTCAAAAGCTGCAGAATACACATCTGTCTCAATAGCACATGGAACATTCTCCTGAACAGATCATATGTTAGGCCACAAAACAAAGCTTTAACAAATTTAAGATCTAAATCATTTCAAGTATATTTTCTAACCACAATGGTATAAAACTAGAAGTCAACATCAGGAGGAAATTTGTAAACTTTGTAAATACATAGAAATTAAATAGCATGCTCCTCAACAACCAATGGATCAATTAAAAAATTAAAAAAAAATTTAAACAGGTAAAATTGAAAACACAACATACGAAAACCTTTGAGATGCAGTTCTAAGCAGTTCTAAGAGGGAAGTTTATAGCAACAAACACGTATATTAGCCATGTGTGGTGGCTCACGCCTATAATTGTAGCAGTTTGGGAGAGAGAGGCAGATGGATCACTTGGGGCCAGGTGTCTGAGACCAGCCCAGCCAACACGGCAAAACCCTATCTCTACTAAAAATACAAAAATTAGCTGGGCATGGTGGCACATGCCTGTAATCCCAGCTACTTGGGAGGCTGAGGCACAAGAATCCCTTGAACCTGGGAGGCGGAGCTTGCAGTGAGCCAAGATCCCCCCACTGCACTCCGGCCTGGGCAACAGAGTGAGACTCTGACTCAAACAAACAAACAAACAAACAAAAAACCCACATTAAAAAAAGAAGAAAGACCACAAATAAACAACCTAATATGCACCACAAGGAACTAGAAAAATAAAAACAAACTAAATCCCAAATTAGCAGCAGAAAAGAAATAATTGCTATTAGAGCAGAAATAAGTGAAATAGAGACCAAAAATACAAAAGGTCAATGAAACAAAGGCTTAGTTTTTTGAAAACATAAACAAAATCAACATACCTTTGGCAAGACAAATACAAAAAAAAGAGAGAAGACTAAAATAAATAAAATCAGGGATGAAAAGGGAGACATTACAATTGATACCACAGAAATACAAAGAATCATGACAGAGTGTTATAAAAAATTGTATGCTAAAAATTGAATAACCTAGAAGAAATGGATAAATTCCTGAACACACAACCAAGACAGAATAATGAAAAAATAGAAAATCTGAGTAGACCAATAATGAGTGAGGAAATTGAATCAGTAATAAAAAAAAATCTTGCATCCAAAAACAAACAAACAAAAAAGCCCAAGACTAATGGTTTCATGGGTGAAATGTCTTTTTTTCACAGAAATAGAAAAAATATCCTAAAATGTATATGGAACCACAAAAGACAAAACCCAAGGCAATCTTGAGCAAATAGAACCAAGGTGAAGGCATCCCAATAATTGATTTCAAACTGTATTACAAAATGATGGTAATTCATCATGGTCCTGGCATAAAAATAGACATGTAGACCAATGGAACAGAATAGAGAGCCCAGAAACAAACCCATGATGTTATGGTCAATTTATTTTGGACAAAGGTGCCAAGAACACATATCAAAAAAACAACCAGTCCCTTTAATAAAGGCTATTAGGAAATCTGAATACCCACATGCAAAATAATAATAATAATAATAATTAGACCCCTGTCTCACATCATATATCAAAATTAACTCCAAATGGGTTAAAGTTTAATTATAAGATCTGAAACTATAAAACTACTAGAAGAAAACATAGAGGAAAACTCCACAACATTGGTCTGGGAAATGATACTTTGGGTATGACCTCAAAAGCATAGGATAACCCAATTTAAAAGTGGGGAAAGGACTTGAATAAATGTTTCTCAAAAGAAGACATACAAATGGCCAAGTACATGAAAAAATGCTAATCCTCGTTAATCATCAAATAAATGCAAATTAAGACAACAATGAGATATCACTTTCTAGCTGTTTGAATGGTTATTTTCAAAGAAATGAAAGATAAGAAGTGTTGGAGAGGATATAAAGTAAATGGAATTTTTCTACACTGTTGGTGGGGATATAAATTACTATAGCTATTATTAAAAACAGTATAGAAATTCCTCAAAAAACTAAAAATACAATTACCGTATGATCCAGCAACCAAGGAAATCAGTGTGTCGAGGAGATAGCTGTAATTGTGTTTATTGCAGCATTATCCACAATAACCAAAATATGGAATCAACCCAAGTGTCCATCAACAGATAAATTGATGAAGAAAACATGGTGTATATATATATTATATATATATAATGGAATATTATTCAGCCATAAAAAGAAGGAAATTCTATCATTTGAAACAACTGGATGAACCTGGAGGGAAATTGTGCTACATGAAATAAGCCAGGCACAAGAAGGACAAACATTGCATGGCCTCATTCACATGTGGCATCTAAAACAGTTTAACTCATAGAAGCAGAGAGTAGAAAGCAGTGGTTACTAGGGACTGGGTGGGGGATGATAGGGGAGATGTGGGGTCTCAGAATACAAAATTTCAGTTAGATAGGAATATGTTCAAGGAGTCTATTGTACATAATGGTATTTGCAGTTAATAACAATATATTGTATATTTGAAAATTGCTAGGAGTTTTTAAGTGTTCTCATCATAAATATTTGAGATGACAGATATATTAATTAGCTTGATTTAATCATCCTATATTGTCTATGTGTATTCCTATGCAATATATATGCAATGATTCTAGGTATGTGATATATATAACAACCTCACTTTGTACTCCATAAATATATAAAATTATAATGCTACTCTACAATAAAAATAAACTGAAAAAAGTAAAACATGATAACATAGAGTGTGGAATAATGGACATTGGAGACTCAGAAGGGTGGGCAGATAGGAGAGGGACGATGGATGAGAAATTCCTTCATGGATACCGTGTACACTATTTGGGTGATGGCTACACTAAAAGCCTACACTTCACCACTGTGCAATATATCCATGTATGAAAACTGCACTTCACCCCAAGTTTATATAAATAAATTTTTTTAATTGAAATAATTTTTTCAAAAGGAGTTAGGCCCACTTATTGTGCCTGGGGAAGGACAGATGGCCCTGAGGAGCCTCAAGGAGAGGAAGCAGAGTGGGTTGTAGAGGCTGGGCTGAGTCCAGGGACCAGAGGGAGCAGAGAGTCTAGGAGCATGCGGTGAGTGGCAGAGGTGATGGCCGGTTCCCTGTGTGTCCTGCAGGGAGTGGTAAATATGAGTCCAAGAACTGGCAGGTGATAGTCACGAAGGACATGAGTGTAGGCTGGGGCAGGCAGGGGCATTGTGTAGGAACAAAATGGTCAGCTCAGGGAATGTTGCTGAAGGAGGCATCAGAAACTTAGCTCCTGGGAGGAAAGGAAGAAAAAAAAGGTCAGGGAGGGTCCTGACCAGGGAACGGGCTGGCTACACACATACAGACACAAACACACATACAGAGGTATTTGTGTGTTTGTGAGGAGAGATAGAGAGAGAGAGAGAGAGAGGAGAGAGAAAGAGAGGAGGGAGAGAGGAGGGAGAGAGAGAGAGATTGATTTTGTGGGCTCTTCTGCGGTTTAAGCTCTCTTAATACTGAGAGGTGACAACGTGCTAGCAGCCCTGGTTCGCTCTGGGCGCCTCCTCCGCCTCGGAGTCGGCTCTGGCCGCGCTGGAGGAGCCCTTCAGCCCGCGCTGCGCTGTGGGAGCCTGTCTCTGGGGCTGGCCGAGGCCGGAGCCGGTTCCCTCTGCTCCGGGGAGTTGTGGAGGGAGAGGCCCTGGCGGGAGCCGGGGCTGCGTGCGGCGCTCGCTGGCCGGCGGGGGTTCCGGGTGGGAGCGGGCTCTGCGGGTCCCCACACCGGCCGGCGCCTACTGGACTTGATTGGGGAACTAGCTCCCTCTGGGCTGCTGGAGTGCCCGGGCTGGGTGCCGCAAAGTCTGCGCGGAGTGCCATTGAGAGGTGAAGCCAGCTGGGCTTCCGGGTCCGGTGGGACTTGGAGAACTTTTATGTCTAGCTAAAGGATTGTAAACACACCAATCAGCACTCTGTGTCTAGCTAAAGGATTGTAAACACACCAATCAGCACTCTGTGTCTAGCTAAAGGATTGTAAACACACCAATCAGCACTCTGTGTCTAGCTAAAGGATTGTAAACACACCAATCAGCACTCTGTGTCTAGCTCAAGGTTCGTAGATGCACCAGTCAGCACCCTGTCAAAATGGGCCAATCAGCTCTCTGTAAAATGGACCAATCAGCAGGATGTGGGAGGGGTCAGATAAGGGAGTAAAAGCAGGCTGCCCCAGCAAGCAGTGGTAACTCGGTCGGTTCTCTTGGACGCTGTGGGAAGTTTGTTGTTTTGCCGTTTGCAGTGAATCTTGCTGCTCACTCTTTGGGTGCATGGTGCCTTTATGAGCTGTTACACTCACAGGAAGGTTTGCAG
Source organism: Homo sapiens (assembly GCF_000001405.40). Classification (NCBI taxonomy): domain Eukaryota; kingdom Metazoa; phylum Chordata; class Mammalia; order Primates; family Hominidae; genus Homo; species Homo sapiens. The sequence goes on from NC_000005.10 coordinate 181,033,149, forward strand.
CTTCGTTCCTAAAACTAGCCAGATGGCGAACCCACTGGGAGGGACAAACAAATCCAGATGGGAGGAACAAATAACTCCAGACGCGCCGTGTTTGTGAAGTGTAACACTTTGAAGGTCTACAGCTTCACTTCCTAAGGCTAACAAGACTACGAATCCACCGGAAGGAACGAACAACTCCAGACACAGCATCTTTAAGAACTGTAACACTCAGCGCGAGGGTCTGCAGCTTCATTCTTGAAGTCAGCGAGACCAGGAACCCACGAATTCTGGACACCGTACAGCCAACAAAAACCTAGCTGAGTTACTCACCTAAAACCTGACTTGACATCCTAGATTGGCTAGGACTAAAAAGTCTCATTGAATTACTGGAAACTTATTCCTATGAAAGTAATGCATGCTCACGTTTAAAGAGTAAAATTTGACAAAAAGCACTGTAGTAAAAAGCAACAATCTCCTAACCATGTTCCGTTCTGCATCTTTTCCCTATCTTTCCAGGTCTTGTTTTACCAGAGAAATAATTGCATGGCTTCTGTCTTGTGTTTGTCAGGTACTTCGTTATCTTTAAGTTATCTGTTTATATCACCACTTTCTGTTCACTCGTTTTGGTGGTTTTGTTCACCACCGGTTCACGTGTTATATGTCTCATCACTTTATTTTGTTACAGGCTCATTTTGCTTGAAATGTTTCAAGTATTTTATTTCCACAATTGTTAATGAGTAGTATAATTTTTTCCCTTCTGAAGTTTTGTAAAAGTTCCTTAGTTGAAAGGTATTTGTTCAAAAATGTAGCTGTAACCCTGGAGGAAGTGTAAATAGTAAGGACCCAGTAAGTCAGTGTTGATGACTCGCAGCCCTGACTCTCACAGCGTGGTGGTGCACACCTGTAGTCCCAGCCACTGGGGAGGCTGAGGCAGAAGGAGCACCTGAGCCCAGGAGTTCGGAGAGTGCTGCGGAGAGCTAGGATCACTGGACTGCATTACGTACAGCCTAGTTGGCAGAGTGAAATCCTGTCTCTTTAAAAAAAAGCCAAGGCCAGGTGCGGTGGCTCACGCCTGTAATCCCAGCACACTGGGAGGCCGAGGCAGGTGGATCACCAGGTCAGGGGATGGAGACCATCTTGGCTAACACGGTGAAACCCCATCTCTACTAAAAAAAAATACAGAAAATTAGCCGGGCATGGTGGCGGGTACCTGTAGTCCCATCTACTCGGGAGGCTGAGGCAGGAGAAGGGCGTGAACCCAGGAGGCAGATCTTGCAGTGAGCCCAGATCACGCCACTGCACTCCAGCCTGGGCGACAGAGCAAGACTCCGTCTCAAAAAAAAAAGCCAAATGATAACTCCTAATCCCCAAATCTAACATTTTAGAAAGTAATAAAATAATAACAGTACTCTTTTAAATACTTTAAAAAGTACTCTTTTAAACATTTCTTGCATTAAAGGACCTCTAGTATTTAGAAGGAAGGCACTGTTTGAAGCCCAGTTGACAATATTTTCCATATGATCTTATTTGATCCTGGCTCTGCTGGGGGTGTATTGGGACGCAGGGAGCACACAGTCCTGGTGAGGCCAGGCCGATGGGTCCTGACAGGCACTGCTCATTAAGACCAGGGTCAGAGGACTTGTAAGAAAAGCTGTTTCTAGGCTGACAACTTGTCAAAGTACAATTTTCAAAAAACTTTTAAAACATGACTCATTCAATTATAAAATGATCATGTGTAATAGATTTTATTCAGTCCCTTAATTTGAGGTAACCAATGACGTGGTAAAGACTAGTTCAGGAAGCACTTCAGGAATTATTTTTTAAAAAAAGGAATTAGATATTTAGAGGCAGTTTAATACAGAAACGTTGTGGTAAGACTGCTGCCTTATCTACAGAACTGGATAATCTCTTAGAAGGCGATACACCATAACCTTTTGGGTTGTATTTTTCTACTGGATAGAAATTATCTGGATGCATGCAGTGGCTCGTGTATATAATCCCAGCACTTTGGGAGGCTGAAGGGGGAGGATTGCTTGAGCCCAGGAGTATGAGACCGGTCTGGGCAACATAATGAGAACCTCATCTCTATAAAGAAAAAATTAAAAAATTAGCTGGTCACCTGTGGTCCCAGTGACATGGGAGGCTGAGGTGGGAGGATCACTTGAGCCTGGGAGGTTGAGGCTGCAGTGAGCTGTGACTGTGCCACTGTACTCCAGCCTGGGTGACAGAGCAAGGCCCTGTCTCAAAAAAGAAAAAAATTATTTGCAACTCTACTGGGCAAAAGTCTACAAGTTAATTATGCAAATTCACTAAATCTGGGGTTTTTAAGTAATGGCAAACAGTAATCAAAGTACACTTCCATAAGTAATCTGTGGCTGGGCCAGTGCCCACATGACACTGAAAGGACATGTTACCTACCTTTTTGCCTTATTTGGAAATTTAACATAATTTTTTTCTTCAAAAGTTCTCCTCCTGTTAAAGCAAACAGTATTATTTGTTCCCTAAAGGTGCCTGGAGAGAGTGTGGATGAAACAGGAGAACCCACCGTCTGCCGGGGACAGCAGGTTTGAATAACCAAGAGCACCCTCTTTAAGAAACGACCTGGTTATTTGTTTTTAATTTGTAATGGAGACAAGGTTTCACTGTGTTGCCCAGGCTGGTCTAGAACTTCTGGGCTCTCGAACTCCTGGACACAAACAAGACCCTTGTTTCAGCTTCTCAAAGTGCTGTGATTACAGGCGTGAGCCACCACGCTCAGCTCCCCCTAGTTTATTATTATTATTATTACCACCTGTTTATGCAACTCAAACCCTGTCAAACTGCGTTTTGGCTGGCTCTCTGAAAAGGTGTAATATAAGGGCACCAACCCACTTCCCTCCTACAAATGGTCGGGACTCAGATGAGCACTGTTTTCACAGGGTCTCCTCCATAACCAATGGTCGGGACTCAGATGAGCGCTGTTCTCACGGGGTCTCCTCCATAACCAATGCTCACTCTACCTGGCGTAAGCCCGCAGCTGGAGCTCCTTATTCTACCCACTTCTGTGTGTCAGGAGAAGGTGCTGGCTACTTCTTGCAGTGAAGGAATTCCTCCGAGCTAGGGATGCTCCGTGCTGATCCCTTTGGGCAGCACCACTCAAGTCACCCTCGAAAATGGCTTGCCTTGGCGAGGTCAGGCTGTTTGGGAGTAGAGGGTGTGTGTGGCTCCTGCAGCCCCCACAATCTCAGGAGCCAAAGATGAGCACCTGTGGCTGTGAGGGCAGCAGTGGGCCTCTCCTATCTCCCAGTGCCTGTGCACGTCTCTATCTGTGTGACAAAGCACAATGGGGGGCACTGTGCCAGCTGACAGGCACAAGAATGTCAGTGTGAGCTCCCTGGAGAACGGAACAGGAGAAAATGAAAATGCAGTAAGGAAGCTCAAGGGCCATGTTGTGGGCTGCCGGGGAAGGTGGATGGGGGATCGTCAGAAAAGGAGGAATTCACTACTTGCGAGGCTGGCATGACTTTGCTTCTATCTCCACTGGTAGCCCACGCTGGGCGTGAGAATAGCCTTTGCCCTGGGGATGAGGATTCTCCCATTAGCCCCTCCAGAATTCCCTCAGACGACCTCATGGTGAGGGCTGCTGTGCACCACGGAAGCTATATAATGGGGCATGTTCTCCGCTGTCCAAGTGATGGCTCCATGCTGGCCTGGCTAGCCCCTAGCCTTTCCTACCCCACACGTGCCAATCACCTCCCTCCACGTGATGGCCGCTGCCATCACAGGGGCTGCAGCAGGGAGGCCTGGCTGGGGCTGCATACTTCACGGAGCCAGTAAGAGCTCTGCCCCTTCTGAGATGGGGCGGGAGCTCCCCGGGTACCGCTGCAGTCACCCAAACTGTGACTGCAGACCCAGGCCTCCTGCTGTACAGATCAGGCAGGATCCCAACCCTCCTGTGTGGGTCTACAGCCACCCAAACTGCAGCTGTGGATCCAAGCCTCCCTGAGCTCCTGGGTGGGAGCCAGGGGCAGGCAGGATCTGCCCTTCTGCGTGCAGCTGCAGCCACCCAACCCACAGCTGCAGACCTCAGCCTCCTGCTCCACGGAGGAGGCAGGAGCCAGGACAAGCAGGAGCCCTGCCCCTTCCGAATTGATGGGGCAGGAGCTCCCCGGGTGCAGCTTCGGCCACCCTCCCAGGAGCAGGACCCCGGCATCTGTGCATTCTGCACCTCCAGGGCCTGGGAAGAACCACCCTGTACCCAGCCCCCCAACCCCCATCCCTGCAGGCTCAGGGCTGTCTGCTTCCCACTGCCTGGCCTCTCTCTGCTCCCACTCTCAGAGCGGGGTTGGGGCCTAGCCAGGGACCATAAATGGCAGTGGGAGGCAGACAGAGTCCCTGGAGGGAGAAGGCGGGTCCCCAGTAAGGCCCCGCCTTCAGGCCAGGGAGGGCCTGAAGGCCTGGCTGCCAGTCCCTCTGACTGGAGTGGGGACTTGTGGTGTCTCCCTCTGGCTGCCCATGGACCAATCAGCATGCACTTCCTCCCCTCTGAGGTGCATAAAAGCCTGAGGCTCAGCCAGAGCAGGGCAGAGGATGGAGAAACGATGGGATGGCCAGCTGCAGAGAGGAGCTACCCTCTCTGCTGAGAGCTTCAGAGACCTGCAGAGGTGTTCAGAACAACTTGCCTGTGGAGAGGAGCCACTCTCTCCAGGGACTTCTGTCTGCTGAGAGCAGCAGGTGGCAGGAGGACCAGTGGGCAGAGAGGAGCTACCCTCTCAAGGGCCTTCTCTGCTGAGAGCTGAACACTCAGTGGGAGGGGAGGACTTACCTACAGAGAGGAGCTCACTGCAGATCACCTCTGAGCTGTTCTAGCATTCAATAAAGCTTCTCTGCATCTTCTTCACCCTTCACTTGTCTGTGTACCTCATGACCTCATTCTTCCTGGAGGCAGGACAAGAACTCAGGTGCCACAGAGGTTTCTGGGAAGAAAATTGACACCCAAAAATCCCACACAAGGACAGATGAGGGTCCATTCTCTCCAGTGGCACCTATAGTCCGCCAGGGGTTCAGCACCTACCTTCATTTTGGATCTGAGCCTTTATGCATTTACTGGGTCTTGGAATGGGAGGTTCGGCTGGCAGGGACAGCCGCTGTCTACATCTTTCCTACTGCATGATGCGCCTGATATGCAGGCGGTGGTGGCAGGTGGGGTCCCCCTCCCACATCCCACCAGGGCTGTGTCTAGGAGCCACAGAAGTGGACTCTGCCCATTTCTCTCTCTCTTTGCATTTCTGCTGTGACAATCTCACCTCTCCCCAGGCAGCATGGAGGAATCCAACCTAAGGGCAATGAAAAGTTTAGGCCATGTTCTCGTTTTCGAGCAGCCCCTCTCTACAAGTGCAATTTTCCTTCTCTTTCACTTCCCTATGTGGCATGCAAGGGCCTCTGCAATGTGGTCCCATCCACTTCTGTTCAACCTTCCCTTCCACTAGTGAGCCACACACTGGTCTGGCTAACCCCTAGCCTTTTCCTACCTCCCACATGCTAATCACCTCCCTCCACGAAGAATGTCTGTCCTCGCAGGCTCTGTCCTCCCGGGCTGCCCATGGCTTCCCTGATCCTACTGTTTATGCAGCATCCATCTTAAGTATACCCTGTCCTTGAGCCCTCCTCTGTCTCCCCAGGCCCGGGGAACTGCACCCACTGTTTGAGCTCACTGTTCAGCCCCTTTTGCTGTCCTAGGGACATCTGTTCACATTAATAAGCCTGGGTGCCCAGTCTCACCAGCCTGTCTGAGCACAGACAGTCACCTCCAGGTCCATGCCTGAAGCTTGCTGGCTCCCGTCTCCCACCCATGTAGCGCCCTGTCACCTGCAGAGGCCCCTCTACAAACACAGGCACTTCTGGGAGTCCCTGGGGTGTGCTACTGAGGCAGAAAATTTAAAAATACATATGCCTTCATTCACTCCAAGAAAAGTAACAGGCAAGGCAAGGGTTAAAAAGTAAAGGACAAGTTTTCCTCTGCCTATAGCAAGCCCACTGCAAGGACAGTTATAACAGTGTCCAGAAAGCCAAGGCCAAAGGAATGGGCTCCAGATACCCGCCGCCCCACTTCCAGAGCAAGGTTGAAGGAAAAAGAGAGAAAGACAAATTCTTTTACTGTTACTGTTTTCCCAGGCTTCTTAAGCATGATTGTGTTTTACAAATGTCTGTACTTAGCCAGTTCTTGTTTTTCTTTCAATGCAGCTACAAAGTCACCCGCTGTGCAAGGCCACAAGTTATGCTATGCTATAGATTATGTGACCTATCATGATTAGCTGCTTTTGTTTTATTTATTGTAAGTCCACTTACAAAAACCCCGCTCTGTCTTTGTTTAATGCTCAGCTTTTTGGATGTGAGTCCACTGAGCCGGTGTGTACCTAAAATAAACAATCCTCCTGTTCTTCACATCGGTCTCTCCGGTCCTCAGTTTCCCACAACACTGCATGTGCTTGAGCTGCTCGTGCCTCAGCTCTGGCCTGTTCCCTGGAGGGGACGTCAGTGTGGGCTGCAGCTGGGTGGCTGGTGCCTCAGTCCGCTAATGCCCAAGTTGCACCATGGCCTACAGTAAGATGGGGTGGGCTGGGCTGGGGTAGTGCTTGCTGCTTCTTTTCTGACCTCTTCTCCACTAGAGAAATCCCAATCCAGCACCCTCCTGCATTTCTAAGTTGCACGTGAACAGGTTTTGCAGGTTGCCTCACGACAATGCCCCCAGGATTTGTTCCTTACTGACCTTGTCCTGAGGAGAAGGTTATGGTGGGTTAAAAATTGGTCATCAGCCCCTTCCTCGTGGTTAGTTAGTGGAGACTGCAGTCTACTCTCTTTCACTGTTCGGGGACTGCTACCCTGCCTCCTTGGAGTCCGAGCTTCACTGGCACAAAGACCCTGAACCCAGCTGGAGCGTTTTCTCCTCACTTTGAGCCTCTGCAGCTGTCGCTCTCTACAAAGCTCTCAGATACCTTTCCCCTCCTTCTGTGACCCTGGAGAGATATTTTACATGGGAATTCAAGATTTTTCTCAGAGACAGGATGTGACGACTTCCTTGTTTTGTTCTATCCATCTTGGTTTCCATAGCCAAGGGCAGAGCAAACGGCATATATCTTAGGGTGGAAGATGGATAAATAATTCTGTCACACGTGCCCTGGCCTCTGGAGCTCAGCTGCCAGTCCACGTCTAGGGAATCTTAGCATCTGGGACCAAGACACTTTACAGCAATCATCACCCTTTGCAGAGGAGGTGAGCTCACCAGGACTCATCTGCCATTTCAGACCTTTTGCTGCTACCTGCCAGGTAAGTGGCTCATTCTCAACAGCTGCCTACACCTCCATCTTTCAGAAACGGCAATCAGAAAATGAAGGTGGGAGGCTTTGGGAAGGCGTACAATTAGTGGCACCATTTTATTATCCGAGCTTGGCCGCAGCATGGGATGTTTCGAGTGTGGCCAAGAGGAGATGTCCACGCCCGTTTAGGTGGGCCGCATCTCAGGAGGCAGGATCCTGATACATCCCATTGCCCCCACCAGACGAAAAAGATTTCAAGCCTCATTGCGGTTCCCTTCTTGGGGCAGTCCATCTTCCTTAGAGACTAAGAGGGTGGAAATCCTCTTGTGGACCTATCGAAATCAAACCAGCGCAGGCAGTGAGCACTAGCTGGGGTCTGCCGGGGGGAAGGGCATTGCAGGGGGTGTCGGGGAGGCCCGTGGGAGAGGGCCAAGGCCCCACTGACACCTGCGGACTTGCAGCTTGGGGAGTGGAGGACAGGAGACAGGCAAAATTCACCAGTTACACAGCTTACAGAAGTAGCAAAGCAAAGACTATACTTCAGGGATAATTTCTGTACTTTGTTACTAGAGAAGTTTTCCACTCTGGGACCCCACAGTCTCCGCAGACATATGCAGAGCAAAAAATACTTCCTGTGTTTGGGAGAGCAAGAGACATGGCATTTATTAATAACATGGATTTTCCTGCCAGGTTTCATAACGTGGTCATTTAAGTGTGAAATGTAGTCTTAAAATTATGTTAGAGAATCCCCAAGGTTTTGCTCTGCCCCCATGGAAACACTGGGATCGCTCAGGACGCCAACAGCTGCATAGCAGGCGAGGGACTCCTGTGGGAGGACGTGGCCTGTGGACACTGCCAGGTTCGGAGATGTCCTTGGGAGATTTACTATTTGTCAGGAAGATAGTGTTAAGTTCAGGCAAATAATTATATGTGTGGACAGAATCTGAAATTCACCAATAGAGTAAGTAAGAGTGAGAGATTGTGAATGTGTAATACAAATGGAAAAGCAGGTTTTATTTTGTTAAGTTATTCACCAGGGAACCAACTGAAGTTCCTTCTAATCCTCTTTTTCTCCATTCTTGCTTTGCTGAAAGTTGGAGAAAAGGACATGTGTAGAGAAAATGGGATGCTTCAGGGTGGCTCAGAGGACACCAATCCATAGTGATTCGCCTGAGTTTGTCAGGTGGAAGCAGTGATTTTTAAGAGTCACTGATTAAAAACAAACAGTCCTAAGTGTATTAGGGAGATGCCATTTATTTGTGAATCAAAAACTTTTCTCAGTCTCTTAAATTATGGTTTTCCTGTAATAAGAATGATTTATATTTTTAGTGAAAAGTTGTTTTCCTTTCAAATACAGACTTTTTAAAAAGACTTAGTTTGAGTAAGTACCTTTTCATTTGATGCTTTTCTTGTGCCTAACCTTAGGAAATCCAGAATAGTATTTGACAGAAATTATGTTTTCAACTTGCCTTTGACATCTGTCCCACTGCATTTTGCTTTAAAATTCTTTATTTAACAATAAATTATCTAAAAAAATAACAGTAGCAAAGCAAAAAGTACTCATCTTTAAAGACAGACTCGACGGAGGGACCGGAAATCAGAAAAACATCAGGGTTGTTTAGGAATTGCAGGTGCAGGAGGAGAGAACAGGAGTGGGGCGGGCTGGGGGCAATGAGAGAGCAAGAAGAAAAGAAAAATAAAAAGAGAAGGAGAAGAAAGAAATGGGCTTTTGCTGGGTGCAGGCAGTGACATTTCTCAGGACCCCTTATTTCTCCCTGTGCCTTCCGGAGGGAGCAGCCCAAGGCTCCTGGGAGGACAAGCAGCACGTGCCCGCCGGCAGAGCTCAGCTCCAGCTGGAGGACCCCTTTGTGGTCCTTGCGCACACTGGGTTTTCCTTCTTCCCCAAATATCCGACGCGTCCAGTCCCTTACTCCTTCCCCAGGCAAAACCTCCTCACCAGGAACAACCTGAAATCAATTTACACTGTAATCAAAATAGCAGAGGGTGGAAAGTGTTTCCTTCGAGGAGGGGACTTACGCTTCAAGTAAGGATTGAGCACCCTGGATCCTTAACTGAAGAGTGAGGTCAGAAAGGGCGGACGCACAGCAGCAAACGGGGAGGAGGGTGCTGTCCAGGAGCCGCTGACTTTTCCCTTCAGGAAGCTGCCAGACCATCTCTCTCTGCTAAAGGCTTTCAAGATGATACCCTTGAGTGTTGGGAGCAAAGGGACCAGGTACCTGTTCCTCCTGGCTCAGAAGATGCTCTTGACAAAGTCTTAGGGAGACCTCAGCTTTAAGTTGTTTTATCTGGCAGCGGGATTTTAAATTTTGTATTCATTAGTTGGCTGGTTGGCTGGTTTTGTGGCTGGCACCGTGTGAGCCGGTCGCTTCTTCAGTGCCTCTGTGTGATGGCAGGTTAGGGTGAGTGTTTGGTCTGTGGCCAGCTGGTTCCTGAGACGGTCATGGTTTTGGGTAACAGGAGTGACGGAAGGGTGTACCCAGACACACGACGTAGCTGGTGAGGAATCTGAATTCGAGAAGTGCAGAGCGAGGCTCTGGAACCAGACAGTGGGTGGAACCCCACCCCACCACTCACCCACTGTGTGCAGGAGCAAGTCACTCAGCTCCTGGGCCTCCGTTTCCTTATCTATAATTTGGACCTATTAGTAATAATAATAATAAAAATAATAATACTGAGGTATAGATAAGTGTTTGATAGATAGGAAGTACCCAATGCATGTTAGTTTTATTACTGTCAGCACGTGTGTGTGTGTGTATGTGTCTGTGTGTGTGCATCTGTGTGTGTGTCTATGTGTGTGTCTGTGTGTGTGTGCATGGGTGTGTCTGTGTGTGTGTGCATGTGTGTGTGTCTGTGTGTGTGTGTGTGTGTCTACAATCCTCCTCCCCTGAAGATTCCATGATGGGAATCACACGGGTGTATCACAACAGAGAACTGAGGTCCCTCTAGCACTTCCACGGTTCTGGAACATCCTGCCCCAATCCCCTGTCCCCAGGAGGTGGCAGCCTGCCCCCAGTCCAGGGAAATTGGAGTGAGTGCTCCTTCTGTGAGAAGGCCAGCTGTGGGACCTGTCTCGCGCCCCATTACCACCTTATGAGCAGACCTGTGTCACAACCTAACACAACCTCGACTAATTCCCCAGAACCCAACCCATCTGAATGGATGCATAAACACACCCTGAGCCCCTCTTGGTTTTGGAAGTTACTAGCTGAACACTGACGTGCCCCTCCTGGTTTTGCTGTCATGGAGCTCTAACCTGTGTCTAGAATCCAGAAGAAAAGACTGAAGTATAAAGGAAAAGAGAAGGGAACAGAAGAGAGGGTGAGAAGGTGCACAACCAGTGTAGACCCCTTTGCTGGAACCCTTCCTTGCCAGCTTCCCCACCTGTCGCAGAGAGGCTTCCACCAGTAGCCACAGAGGGTGAGAGTCTGGACTGTCCAGCCAGGGCCTGGACCCTGCCCGAGGCCTCTGCCCATGCTGGTTATTGTGTGAATCGTGTTCCAATAACTGAGAGGTGTCAACACGGCCCCGCTTCGGGGGGACCCCACCTCCTGTCCTTGAACCTTCTTGAAACACACCTGGAGCTGTCCCAACCTGTCCTCTGTTTGTCCCCTCAATTTTAGCTCTAGGAGACAGGGCCATCAGCCCATGCGCCTCACAGGCCACCCCTCTTCCCTTGTATTCCTGCCTGTCTGGGTGCCTCCTAGCCTAAGGGTCCCTGGGGAGCCTCTACCACCTCATTAACTCACCCTGCACACCTCCTCTGATCCTTCTGCCTCTGCATGGCCCAGCAGCTTTGAAAGTCCTTCCTTCACACCTGCTGATGGTGTTGCTGACAGTGTGGCCAGTGCCCTGTGGCCACAGGACACCGGAAACACCTGCCATGCCAAGGTCTCGGAAGAAAAGCCAAGCCGTGGGGGCCGACGGGGAGACAGAGAGGGTTGGAGAGAGGAGCCCACCGTGGCCTTCCAACAAGGGCACTGTGATGAAGTGAAAGGCAAGGGGTGCAGTCCCAGGACGAAGACAGTGCGTGGGCGTTGGGAAGGCAGGGGGAAGGGAGGTGCTGACTTTGATTTCAAGAGCTCCTAGCAACCCATGGGAGTGGGCATTGGTTTCTTCCATGGTTCAGGCAGAGATTTCGGTCCAGCCAATGACAGAATCTGCCTAAAATCTTGCAGAACTAAATGCAAGAGAAATATGGAGAGTTTTGTGTATCTCCAGAGACTCATTGGCAGCAGCACACTCTCTGGCCGTGAGTCATTAGTGGGTCCCAAGGGAGCAGAGCATCAGGAGTGAGGGGGTAGCCCTTGTCTGGGCCAGGTCTGGGCCTCCTGGGTCATAGATGAGGAAGGGGTGGCTAGATGGGATGACTCCATCACTGTAGCCCCGAAGATGCTATCGACACAGAGACAGTTACCAGCTGGCCTCCTGAAGGCACAACTTGAGGTCCCAGGCCTGGAGGAGAGTGTCCTAGGATGTCGTTGGGGCTGGCAGGCAGCCACCTGCATGCACTCCACTTCTGAGAGAGCAGAACTCTGTGTTTGTTCCTCTGTTTTGCGGACTCGATGTTCCAGACCAAAGGGAAGTGGGACGAAGGTTGGGTTGGTGGTGGTGAGGCAGGAAGAATGAAAATGCATCTGAGATCTTCAGAGATTGCCCTTTGTTTGAGGAAAGTCGCTAAGCCCAGAAAAGGGGGGGCGCTGAGCCCCCACACATTGTGTGGCTCTATTCCTGGCTCTAAACAATAAGCAGCACAGAAGCTGCTTCCTCTGGGATCCTTCAGCCTCGTCCCCTTGCAGCTCTGTGAACCTGGGCAAGGCCACGGATGCCATTAACAGTGTCCCCTGGGAAAATTAGAAGCAGCTCTCCCCTCTGGCCATGGAAGAAGCCAAGCGCTGAGGCTTGTAAGGAATTTGAGAACTAGACAAAAATAACTGAGGCCACAACAGACTTCAGGTCTGATGGAGTGAGTTCCAGCTCCCCCTACCTTTGCACGTCGCTCCAGCACCCCTTTGTCCCTCTCCAGGTGGCCCCCACTGCTGACGAGAGATGGTGGACCTCTCAGTCTCCCCAGACTCCTTGAAGCCAGTATCGCTGACCAGCAGTCTTGTCTTCCTCATGCACCTCCTCCTCCTTCAGCCTGGGGAGCCGAGCTCAGGTATTGTGTCTGCAGCCTAGCTGGCCAGGATGTGAACGCCACCCCTCCTGCCAGGTGCTCCCCAGGGCTACGATCTTAGCACAGTACCAGGGCGTGCCAGACGCTAAAATACAAAAAAGACTTCCATCCTGGTTGTTAAAGAGCCACTACCCCGAGCATTACCCAGCCTGTAGTGATGTTCCTCCACCATCTCCCCAGCCCCCGACACCTCCTCCACCATCTCTCCAGCCCTCAACACCTCCTCCACCATCTCCCCAGCCTGTAGTGTTCCTCCACCATCTCCCCAGCCCCCGACACCTCCTCCACCATCTCCCCAGCCCCCAACACCTCCTCCACCATCTCCCCAGCCTCCAACACCTCCTCCACCATCTCCCCAGCCTCCAACACCTCCTCCACCATCTCCCCAGCCCCCAACACCTCCTCCACCATCTCCCCAGCCTGTAGTGTTCCTCCACCATCTCCCCAGCCCCCAACACCTCCTCCACCATCTCCCCAGCCCCCAACACCTCCTCCACCATCTCCCCAGCCCCCAACACCTCCTCCACCATCTCCCCAGCCTCCAACACCTCCTCCACCATCTCCCCAGCCCCCAACACCTCCTCCACCATCTCCCCAGCCCCCAACACCTCCTCCACCATCTCCCCAGCCTGTAGTGTTCCTCCACCATCTCTCCAGCCCCCAACACCTCCTCCACCATCTCCCCAGCCTGTAGTGTTCCTCCACCATCTCTCCAGCCCCCAACACCTCCTGCACACTTCCCAGCACTCCGAAATCCACAGGCATAGCAGGGAGCAGAGCAAGACGGTGCCAGGAAACTCACTGGCCTGTGTTTGTGCTGAACCCATTGATATACGTTTTTAATTTTACCCCTTGCAAATCTTCTCTCATGAAAGATGTAGCCAACAGAGGGTGCAAACTAATAATTCAAAGGTAATTTCCTAATTTCCTGGGCTGGAAACCAGGAATACCAAGGTGACTGCAACATAGCCCAGGTCTTCAGCAGTCTGTAGTCAAGGGAGGGGTGTGGATGTGGCATAAATGGCTGTCCATTTATGTGACCATGGCTGAGAGAAAGAGAGAGAGCGAGAGAGAGAGAGAGCGAGAGAGAGAGGGAGAGAGAGAGAGAGAGAATTGTGTCCAAAGACCTTGGGAGCACAGCTAAGAGCAATGATTTGTTCCCGGAAAGCTGAGGAGAGCCGTAGAGTGGGAATATAGTTGGAGCAGAGGCTTACAGGATGCACGTTCCCCAGGAAGTTGACAGGTAGGGGATTAGCTGAGGTAGGGTGTGCCCAGGGAAACAGTCAGACATCGGTGTGTGGAGAGAGACAGCCGGAGAGAACCTGGAGAGGGAAACTTGTAGGAAGGGTATTGGATACTCACCCAGCGGGCAATGAGGTGCCTCAAATAGTGTGAACAAAGGAAGGTCCCTCCATTTCCTGTGGGCCAAGTGCAGGACAGGGGTGTCCATGACAAGAGAGCTTTGGGATGGAGTTTTAGCTGAACTTGGAAAGAAAGGAGAGGAGAAGTACAGAGGCCAGAGAGAAGAGTGAGTGCCTGTGGGGTGGCAGGGAACCGTGCGTGCGGAAGAACTGTGCAGGAGCAGCAACTCTCATGGGAACTGCAGACAACAGACCAGACCACAGGGAGCAGAGAGGCCCCATGAAGAAGCCGTCAAAGAGGAGGGTGATCAAATGAAAGATCCCAACAAATGAGTCTCAAAGGAAGGATTTGGTTGGCCTTTTGATAAGAAAACCTGTGGAGCAGGAAGCCCTCATGGATGATTTTTGATACCCTTTGTAGAAGCTGTACATGTGAATTATTTTTTAAACTTGGAAAATCAGACAAGCAAAAATGAGAAAATATCTATTCTCATCATGCAGAAATTATCACCATCAGCAATTTGATGTCTCCTTTCAGGTATTTTTCTCTGCACATTTATGCAAATACGTATGTTTTTTACTTAAGATAATATTCTACAGATTATTTTGACACTTGCTTTTTTGATCAAAGATTCCATTTCGCTTAATGCCTTGGTCATATTTACATAATTGTCCCCAAAATAACATTTGTACCTGGTTGGATGAAACCAGTTACCAGCTCAGCACCACAAATCTGGTTGTGATGTCACCTGTGTATTTGTTTAATCGTGCACTCAACGTTTTTTCGTAAAAATTACTTGTTCAAGGATCTAGGCCAGTTGTCCTGTAGAGTATCTCACCTTTCTTGTTTTTATGGTTTACTGTAGATTCCTCAGCTATAAAGGGGTGTGATAACTTTTTTAAAAATTGGATGAGGGTTGCTTTTGCCTGTTCTGACTTGTCATCCTAGAGGTCAAGGTGCTAGGCCCTGAGTATCCCATCCTGGCCCTCGTCGGGGAGGAGGTGGAGTTCCCGTGCCACCTATGGCCACAGCTGGATGCCCAGCAAATGGAGATCCGCTGGTTCCGGAGTCAGACCTTCAATGTGGTACACCTGTACCAGGAGCAGCAGGAGCTCCCTGGCAGGCAGATGCCGGCGTTCCGGAACAGGACCAAGTTGGTCAAGGACGACATCGCCTATGGCAGCGTGGTCCTGCAGCTTCACAGCATCATCCCCTCTGACAAGGGCACATATGGCTGCCGCTTCCACTCCGACAACTTCTCTGGCGAAGCTCTCTGGGAACTGGAGGTAGCAGGTGCGTGGACTGACCTAAGGCCCTGCAGAGGAGAGGGAGATCCAGGTGCTTTGCCAAGTAGAGGTGGAGTCACAGAGAACAGAAGAATGTCGGTGATTTTTAAAAAACATAAAAGCTGATGGATAGGTCCATTCTCAAATGAACAAACAAAACAAACAGTTCACCAAAAAATACACAAATAGCCCTTAAATATATGAAAAGGGCCGGGTACAGTGGCTCAAGCCTGTAATCCCAGCACTTTGGTAGACCGAGGCAAGCAGATCACTTGAGCTCCAGAGTTCGAGACCAGCCCAGGCAACATAGGGAGACCCCATCTCTTAGCCAGGTGTGGTGGTGCGTGCCTGTAGTCCCAGCTACTCAGGGGGGTGAGGTGGAAGGATCTGGCTGCAGTGAGCTTGACTTGCCACTGCACTCCAGCCTGGGTGACAACTCTGTCTTGAAATATATATATATATCTATATATATATCTATCTATATATATAGATATAGATATATATAGTATGCTATATATTAATTATATAGTTATATATTATATAATTATATTAGTTATATAATATTATATAATTATATTAGTTATATAATATTATATAATTATATTAGTTATATAATATATCATATATATGATATATAAATATATATAATATAAAAATAATATATATTATATAATATATATAATATATAATATATTGAGTAACAAAATTACTCATAGTGAGAGAAAGGCAAATCAAAGCTATGTCAAAATGCAATTTTTTTTTAACTGTCAGACTAGCAAAATTTCAAAAGCTCTTCCATGTACTGTTAATGGAGCTATGGAGAAGAAAGCTGTCTTATACTATGTTAGTGGAATTCAAAGTTGGAAAGCTCCCGGACAGGGAAATTTGGTAATACTTAAGAGGACTAGCTGTGTGGCTACCCTCTGACACAGCAATCCCACCTCCAGGAACTTACTCCACCTCCGATACCTCCAATATGAAAAAAGCATATGTATGAGTTTAATCTTTGTAAAGCTTTTTAAAAACAATTGCAAAATAGTGGAAACCACCTAAATGTCCAAGCATAAAAGCTGAGTATGCTCTATCCACCCAATGGAGTAATCTGTATTATGCATCTGAAACAATGATGAGGTGGTCTCTGAATGGATGCAGAGTGATTTCTAGTATTGTTAAGAGAGAAAAGTAAGATGCAAGGTTCGATAACATACACTTGCTTTGTAAGAAAGAAGGAGAAACATTGCAAAAGGGAACATAGGAAGGATAAACTAGAAGCTGATGAGATTGGCCGCTGAGGGTGAGGTGTGATGACGGGAAGGATGGCGCTTTTTTCCTGATACACATTTCTGTACAGCATTGGCATTTATGCCACATTAATGTTTTGCATACTCAAAATATAATGCTAGTTCCACAAGGATGGAGAGATAAGGGAGTGTGTATAATGCAGGCACTAGAGCTCTGGGGGAATTCAAGAGAAGGAGAAGAGTCACAACTCTAATTATTAGAATTTAGGGTGCTGCTATTCTTCATTCTAGGGAAACTGTCCCTTGCCTAACATGATTAAATGCCAGGAGCCCTTCCCCACCCAATGACCCCCTTCACATTTCCAAATGTCCCTCAGGGGCATTACTGTCCCCACATGCTACCACTGATTTAGACTGTCATTTCCCGTCCATGGGCGGGGAGCGCCAAGCCCACACACGTCTTAATAGCAGTCACACTTCATGATGCTTTATGGTGACTGCAAATGCTGAACAGTGGCAGGAATGTTATGCGTGATTTCTCAGAAGAAGCCTGACCTTTCCCACTCCTCCTGCCTCCACCAGGGCTGGGCTCAGACCCTCACCTCTCCCTTGAGGGCTTCAAGGAAGGAGGCATTCAGCTGAGGCTCAGATCCAGTGGCTGGTACCCCAAGCCTAAGGTTCAGTGGAGAGACCACCAGGGACAGTGCCTGCCTCCAGAGTTTGAAGCCATCGTCTGGGATGCCCAGGACCTGTTCAGTCTGGAAACATCTGTGGTTGTCCGAGCGGGAGCCCTCAGCAATGTGTCCGTCTCCATCCAGAATCTCCTCTTGAGCCAGAAGAAAGAGTTGGTGGTCCAGATAGCAGGTCAGTGGCTGTTAGCTCACACCCATCTTCCTAGTCCTCATGTGTACATACACATTGGCCCAAAGGCAGTCTATAAAGACACAATGGTACTGCGCCTGTCTGCATATAGGGTGTGTTGGCCTTGACACCTGAAAAGTCAGCACCTTGGATATTAGGAACACACTAAGAACGCTACTGAGAACCCAAACAGTCAGTGAGAGAGGCCCCAGAGAGCCCGCCTTTCTGTGCCTAAGGCCATACACTAAAACCCATCAACTCTGCTCATCAGAGGCATCATGGGAGCCAATAGATTCGTAATGCTGTCTCTCAAACAGTATGTATTGAGTTTCCACAACGTGACCCCAGTCCCTACCCTCAGGTCCCCATGCCAGTGGGGGATACAGACAATAAGCAAAAGAAGTGCATCCTGTCACATCACGTTAGAAGGTGGTAGGTGCAGCCGGGTGCAGTGGCTCACGCCTGTAATCCCAGCACTTTGGGAGGCCAAGGCGGGTGGATCATGAGGTCAGGAGTTCAAGACCAGCCTGGCCAAGATGGTGAATCCCCATCTCTACTAAAATTACAAAAATTAGCCCGGCATAGTGGCAGGCGCCTGTAATCCCAGCTACTCGGGAGGCTGAGGCAGGAGAATCGCTTGAACCGGGGGGCAGAGGTTGCAGTGAGCCGAGATCTGCACTCCAGCCTGGGCAACAGAGCGAGAATCCGTCTCAAAAAAAAAACAAAAAAAAAAAAAACAAGAAGAAGGTGGTAGGTGCCGTAGAGAAAAATGAAGCAGGCTGAAAGCAGTGAGGCATGTCCACAGATTACAAAAGGCACGTCCAGGAAGTGGGCGTGTAGGCAGTGAGCTGAAGGCAAGGTCATTATTAAAGTCTTATTATGAGGCAGCCACTGAAGGGTTTCAAGTTCATGGTTCTAATTGTTTTACATTTTAAGGACAAACCCAACATACGGGCCACTTTTCACACGAGTCCAAATCAAAAGCTATTTTATTATAACAGAAAAAAACTCCCCCTTTGATATAGTCAGTCAGATACAAGCCAATGCACACATGTTCTCAAGATAAATGATAACTTGTCTGCAAGTAGGAGGACCTGGCAACACCGCTTACCACAGCAGTTCTAAATTCCGTGGGAATTGGGATGGCCATCTGTGTGAGCCAACTGTCTTTAACCAAAGGAAAAATCAAGCATGTGATACGTCTAGGGCATACAACTTGGAGCCACGCAGCTAAGCTAAACTCCCATGAGACAGGGATCTCCACGGCAGTGCTCTCTCTTTTATGTTTACATTTCAAACAAGTGGCCCTTAAGGAAAACATTATTGGGTTGTAAAGAAAGAACTGATATATTTTCTAAGGAAAATGAACTAAGAGAGGGGAAGAGGAAAGAGTCTCTCTTTTTGCACCAGGAAAAACCCAATATTTTCTTTTTAGCTTTTAATATAAATCTTAATTTATATTATTGATATTTATTATGAAACAAGTTTATATAAAAATTTTTAGATGGGTAAATGTTTGCATGCGCGGACCCCTCTACAGAGGGCGTGACTCACATGGATACCTTTGGGAAGGCATTCTGGTGGCGGGAAGGGCAAAGCCAGGGGCCTGAGAGGGAAACTGCCGGCTGCTGGCAGAACAGCGAGGAGGCCAGAGGGTCGAGGGGGAGGGTCACAGGTCAGAGAGACAGTCCGCCCTGAGCCCTTGCCCTTGACCCCAGGCCATTGCTTCAGACACCATCTGTTGTGAGGACCAATCCATTGTGACCCAGTGTTTTTGTACCATACAATAAAAATGCACTGCTAGAAAAACAAAATTAAAAACCACAGTCCACTGATGTCACTTATAAGCCAGACACACAGAACAAATGCCGTCTGATTCCACGGATGTGGGATTACCTAGAGGAGTCAAGTCCACAGGGATGGAGAGTATACGGAGGGCGCCAGGGGCTTGGGCGTGGGAAGAGGAATTACTGTTTAATAAGTACAGAGTTTCAGTTTTGAAAGATGAAGAAACTTCTGGAGATGGGCGGGGGTGATGGTTGCACACGACATGGTGAATGCACTTAATGCCCCTGAACTGTACACTTAAAAATGGTTAAGATGGGAAAGGTTGTTACGTATATTTTACTACAATAAAAAGAACATTTTTTAAAGATCTGAGATAAAAGCACCATTTTCTAATAACTAGATGACACAGACAGAAAGTTACTCTATTCAACCGCCACAGGGTTTGCGAAGGGCCGGTGGGTTCTGCGCGTCCCTGCGCCGCTGGTGCTGTCGGCGCTGCCCCCGGCCACGTCCTGCCTGCGGGCGGGTCCTCCCTGGGGAGCCGGGAGGGACGTGGGAGCTGCGAGGCCGCGCGCACGTGGTTCGGTTCTCACTTCTTCCAAAAGCGTGGTAAGAACCGAGGGAGAAGCCGGATGTTTGCAAACAAGCGAGGAGACGACTTGCGGACCAGACGGCGCGGGTGCGAGCAGGAGCTCCCCGGACATCCGCCGCCAGCCAAGCCCCTGGGACCCTCCCGCCTGCGGACGCGGGGCGAGGGCGGGAAGACGCGGGGCGAGGGCGGCGCTGCGGCCGCAGAAGCCTCGAGCCGGGCTGGGGCGCGGTTCCCTCCCGCACGCCCCGCGGCGCGCCCCCGCCCCCTCCGCCGCGCGCGCCCCCGCCCCCTCCGCCGCGCGCGCTCCCGCTCCACGCCCGTTTCCCAGGCGGCTGCGGTGGCGCCCGGAGAAGGTCCCGCGGGAGGTTTCCCGGCACGCGGCGGGCAGGCCGGTCTCGCCTCTCGGTGCTCAGCGGCGCCTGGACCGACACGGCCCCCGCGGGTGTTTTCCAGACGTGTTCGTACCCGGAGCCTCTGCGTGGAAGAGCGCGTTCGTCGCGACCCTGCCGCTGCTGTTGGTCCTCGCGGCGCTGGCGCTGGGCGTCCTCCGGAAGCAGCGGAGAAGCCGAGGTACCGGCGCGGGCGGCGGGGCGGGGAGGGGCACCGGCCGGTGCTGAACCCCGGGGCCGCGGAGGCGCCTCCCCCCAGGACGCGGCGCGGGAAGGCGGCCTGGAAGGGGCGGGGGCGCGCACTCAGCCCTCTCCGCTCCCGTTTCCCTTCAGAAAAGCTGAGGAAGCAGGCGGAGAAGAGACAAGGTGAGCGGGGACAGGGCGTTCTGCACGCACCTGCCCAAGTGCCAAAACCCGCCGTCATCTAAAGGCTGTGGGTCCCGTTACGAGGGTTTATTCCAGCGCGAGGTGTCAGGGCGGCCACCGGGGAACGGGGATCGGTGACCCCGGTGGGGAAGGGGGAAGATCGTTCATATGGACAAAAGCGGAGGTGCGGAACGGCTGCATTTTCCACGGAGGCTAGTGCACAGATGTCAGGGTTGACCGGCTGCTGTCGTTACGCCCTCGGAGCTTCACATCACACTGTACAGAGGGAGCGGTGACCAGGGTCTCTGCTGCCAGCGCCACCTCGTCCAGGTTTTCATAGCGCACAGGGAGTCGGGCGGATGCGCAACATCTCCGCACAGGGTCAGGAAGCGGCGGTCAGGCACCGAGAAAACAGCCCAGTTACGTGAGGCAGTGTCCGGGGCTTAACGTTTCCGCCGAGCTAATAGATTTGGGAGGCTCCGACCCTGATTTTCACACTAGCAGGAGGGAGGGCGCTGGGTCACCCTCCTATGCAGAAGGGCAGCCAAGGGTGCGCACTTCCCCATCCCCTGCCTGGAGCCTCACTTCCAGCCCAGCCTGGGCCCGCAGACCACCGCGGGTGGGAGTGCCGCATCGGAGGTGAGGCCTCAGTGTTCACCCATCTGTTCTGTCTGCCTCATTCCCCAACCTGAGAGTCTTTCCCCTTTTCTTCATCTTTTTTTTTTTTTTTTCTCTAGAGAAACTCACTGCAGAGCTGGGTAAGTTCTGGGTGCGGGGCCACAGTGCTGCCTGTCAGCCGGACCCTGTGCCTGTGCAGTGGGAGGAGGGGCTCCCTTTGGACAGCGGCTGGCAACTATCTAATTCTAAACCATCCCTGTGAGCCTCCACCTCTTCCCTTGCTAAGGGGCTGAAAGGATGGCTGCCTGCCACCGTGCAGCTGCCCGAGACCCTCTGCACAGACCCTGCCAGCTCCTCCCCTGCAAATTAGACAATTCAGTTAAAATTCATCATAAAACGTTTACTGTCTCCGGTTCATCTTCTTAAAATATCCTTTTCTTTTTAATGCAAATGGCACTAGGAAGGGTGGCACCTTTAATTTGCACCAAAATGGAAATAATTTCTCAGATCCACTTTTCTCCCCAGAGGGACTCAGAGACGTGAAACCATGGGATGTGTCTCTGTAGAGAGGAAGAGAGAGTGAACCCAAGGGAGGGGGAATGGAGGAAAAGGCCATCATGGTGTTGGGGTTGGGGGGGCAATTCAGATGAAACTGTAAGGTTGGGAAAGCTTGTCTGGCAGTCTACCTCGCCCTTCAAGGGGAATGAGAAAAACATAGCCCTAATAAGTCATTAAGGCTATAGTCTGAATTGTAAGTCATAACACTATAGCATGAATGCCTCTCCCAGGAGCATTTACTTTTGAAAGAGCTTGACATTGGGTGGACAGATCAAAGGAATGCATTTTTAGTAGCAAAATGTTGGAGTCCTTGGTAATTATTTGGGGAAATAATTGGGTGTGATGTCCTTCCAGTCCTTCAGATAACGCACCCGGTGAGTGACCGTGAGGCTCACGTAGGCGGCCCTCAGTGCCTGCACTTAGGCGGGAGCTCCGCCCCAGGAAGCTTGTGATTTCAGGCAGAAGGAACAACCCCAACCCTGGGAAGAGGCCTGTCAGTACTAAGATCTGGTATCCCTTCTAGGCTGTGTGCAGATTTCCACCTTTGAGCTAAGATAGGATGAGGCATAAGAGTCCTGCAGATGGGCCTCTTTTTGAGGGCAATGAAGGGGCAAAGAGGAAGCTGTAAAAAAAAAAAAATGAAGCTGTGATTAGCAGTGGCTTAAGACTAAGGAAGCTCTTCCCAGTGGCCTGTCTTGGGAAGATGGTTCCACCCACCTGCAGGCTGAAGTTTTCTTTGTGTGTTCTGCTTGCAGAAAAGCTTCAGACAGAGCTTGGTAAGTGACCCCTCTTAGAACTATTTCTCCTCAGGGCCGGGTCCAGTGGCTCACACCTGTAATCCCAGTACTTTGGGAGGCCGAGGCGGGTGGATCACGAGGTCAGGAGATCGAGACCAGCCTGGCTAACACAGTGAAACCCCGTCTCTTCTAAAAATACAAAAAATTAGCCCGGCGTGGCGGCATGTGCCTGTAGTCCCAGCTACATGGGAGGCTGAGGCAGGAGAAGGGCGTGAACCCGGGAAGCGGAGCTTGCAGTGAGCCGAGATGGCGCCACTGCACTCCAGCCTGGGCGACAGAGCGAGACTCTGTCTCAAAAAAAAAAAGAACTATTTCTCCTCATTCATCATTTTGCATCTGATTCCCCATATATCTTCTTCTCATCTCCCAACCAGGTATGATGCCCAGGCAGGACCCCTGCTGGCTATGTGGGTGGTGGGGGGTGCGGGACAGGGTGGGTGCAAGATGTGATGTGTGAGCAGGGAAGCTTGGGGTCCTGATGTGCTAATTTCCTGTTTTCCCTTGGTTGCTTCAGACTGGAGACGGGCTGAAGGCCAGGCTGGTGAGTGGAACCCATCTCTCTCTGACTCCTCCTCATTTATATCTGAGCACCCCAGTCCAACTCACCTGATTAACCAATCAGGCTTCATTCTGGTTGCATTCCGTGGCCTCACACAGCATGTGTTAATCTATGTCACTGGGTAGAGGTCATACTCTGTCCTGAGGACTAAGTGTACTGCAAACCACTAGTTCCAATCCTGGTTACATATCAGAGTTACCTCGACTCCTGGTGCCCATCCTCCAAGACTCAGACTCATGGTTCTGGCATGAGTGTGTTGCTGTACATGTAAATACTTCTCTGCATACCTCCCTCTATTCACCCATAATGCAGACAGTCTAATGTATATATTTTGTATATATTCTTGCAAAATGTGAATATCGATGTATGCATATGCATCTTAGTTCATGTAAGTGACATTTATGGTTCTGTGATGTTCCTTGCTTTTCCCGTATGCATCATCATGCTTTAATATCCATCGCTGCCACTCGTGTGCATTCAGTCTGTTTTTCCTCCTTACTGCAGAGTGCTTCGTTTTAGCCAGCCACCCTCCTGGAGAAGGTATCCAGGCTGCCTCTAACTCCACAACAACACTGAATGCATAGTCTCAAACGTGTTGCCTTACGGCGCTGTGTGGAGATTTCTCTGGGGTATATAACTAGGAGGGGGACTGCTGGCCCATGGTGGGTATGTCCACTAAGGGGATAGTGGGATCCCAGGAAGGCAGTGTCGTTATCCTGCCACCAGCCATGCAGTGAGATTCCATGTGCCCACATCTCATGTGAACCAGCATTCCAAGTTTGCCAATCAGTGGGGATAAGTGATGGCTCATTGTTCTTTAGGTTTGCAACCTCTGAATGCTGAGAAGATTGAGCATCTCTGTATATGCTAGTTGGCTCTGGGGACTTCCTCTACTGAAAATTGCCAGCTCACATCACTGACCCATTTTTCTTATGGGATGGCTGTCTTTTATTATTAACAGGAATATTATATATCTGTGTGTGTGTGTGTGTGTGTGTGTGTGTGTGTGTGAGATTAATCCCTCATGGGTAAACATCGTGAATTCCTTCTTCTGTTGTGCCATCTGCCATTAGCTTTGTCCATAGTTCCCCTTATTGAAAAGGAATTATTAATTTTGATAAAACATAATCCATCAACTTTTTCTTTATGGTTTGTGTTTTTGAAGTTTTGTTGAAGACCTTCCTCACACTTAGGTCACAAAGATTCTCTTACACTTTCTTCTATTTTTTTTTTCTTTATGTAACTACAAAAACCTTTCAACTATCTTTATGTTATATTTGCATCTTTAATCCCTCTAAAATTTGCCATTTTATGAGGTGTTGGGTGAGAATCCTGTGATTTTTCTCCATATAGTCAGTTGGGCTTACCAACGCCATTTACTCCACCATTCCAGGGCTGCCACTGATGTGGGGAACCACCTTTGATGCATATTGGATTCCCATCTCTATATGAGTTTGTCCATTGGCCACCTATTACATCATTGTTTTTACTGCTATGGCTTTTGTAGTAGCTGAAAGTACAAGTTTTCCTTCTCCATTTCCACTTCCTTTTTTAAAGTGAATGAACATTTTTAAAATATAAATTTTAGGATAAATTCATAAATCTCCCCAAAAAATGCAAAAGGAGTTTTACATAGGATTACTTTGAACTTACAGATAAACTAGGGAAAATCAACATCTTTGTAGAACTGAGATATTCCACACAAGAGCTAGGGTGTTTAAAGCTTCACCAGTTATCCTGACGCAAAACCGGGGCAGCAAAGCCTTGCTGTAAATATCTGGAGCTCTGAGAACGTCTTGTGTTGCTTTTGCTTTTGTGACTTGGTGATATCTTTGTTGCAAAACAAAACAAGATAAAACACAACAGAAATCCACTCAGATTGATTCACATTAAGAATGGAGGCATGCCAGGAAAAGACAGGACATCTGGAGGGCATCTTTGGGACCCGTCAGGCTCAGCTGGGCCTCCTGGGCACAGCCTGGCGGGTCAGAGGCTGAGGCTCCACTTCTGTCTCTCAGGGCATCCAGGCTGCTTATAGAGTCTCTTTACCTACATGCTCCACTCTCCTGCTTTTTCCAGCAGAATTTCAGCCTGCACGTAGCTCTGGTATCAATGACACAGGCCTCTACTCAATCTAAAATTTCTCAGGAAAATACATGGTGAACCCCAAGACCAGTCTGGATTCAAACCAGTTGTCACAGTGGGAATGGGGTCATTCGATCTGCATGCATCCCTCATACATCTGGAGACTTCGTTAAGGTTCCAGAGTTACTGACTGAGATTTCTGAGCTTTTTTCCCCTTTTCTGTTTGGTTTCAGAGTGGAGAGCAGCCCAAAAATATGCAGGTAACTGAAGCCAGGAAACTGATTTGTGTTTTGGTTTGGCCGGATCTTAAACAGAAGGGAGGTGGAGAGATCTGAGATTAGAGGACGGGGCTTTATAGGAGCCAAGTATGGGGCCTGCACACACAAGACACACACGCACACTTGCAAACACGCCACACGACACATATGCCTGCATGTGTATGCACACACATGCACACGTGAGCTCCCAAACACATCGCTCCTTGGGGTTACACTAGGTTTGTTTCCATCTGGCTTGAGGCTATTTGCAGGCGAGAGTGCAGAGTCTGTAATGAACCTCCCAGATTCTCTGACGAAGGGGTCCCCTAGGTTCCCATCTGTCAGATGGCATGGGGTGTTGAAATGTGGGGCACTGGACTAGATGATCTCAAAGGTCCTTTTAAAATCCTTTTAAAAACTTTTCTGAAGGACTGTATGTAAAAAAAAAAAAAAAAAATCCAAAATTTCTGTAAAATGACGCTCAGCGCTCTCCTGATTATGCCAAGGTCACGCAGGGTGGTGCCACCAGCAGGAACTAGAACCAGCCCATAGGTCCTTCCCCTTGACCGGGACGTGGCTCCCTCCCCGCCAGCCTACTTCCTTTGCTATCTCTGGTATGGAATTCAGGGACCTTCCAGTTCAGGAAAGGACAGGATTCCTTGTCACTATCAAACACTCAGGAGTGACTGACACATGCCACTTCAGTCCTGGGGAGGGGGTTTGCAGGGGTGAGGGTCGGGGTAAGGGGTTCATTTCCTCGATTATTCCACCAAGAGAAACGAGAGGTTTGTCCGCCTTGGGGAAGACACGGACGGGGCCCAGACCGTCCCGGGCGGGCACTAACGCTGTGGCTCTGCGCAGTGGATGTGACGCTGGACCCGGCCTCGGCGCACCCCAGCCTGGAGGTGTCGGAGGATGGCAAGAGCGTGTCTTCCCGCGGGGCGCCGCCAGGCCCGGCGCCTGGCCACCCGCAGCGGTTCTCGGAGCAGACGTGCGCGCTGAGCCTGGAGCGGTTCTCCGCCGGCCGCCACTACTGGGAGGTGCACGTGGGCCGCCGCAGCCGCTGGTTCCTGGGCGCCTGCCTGGCCGCGGTGCCGCGCGCGGGGCCTGCGCGCCTGAGCCCTGCGGCCGGCTACTGGGTGCTGGGGCTGTGGAACGGCTGCGAGTACTTCGTCCTGGCCCCGCACCGCGTCGCGCTCACCCTGCGCGTGCCCCCGCGGCGCCTGGGCGTCTTCCTGGACTACGAGGCCGGAGAGCTGTCCTTCTTCAACGTGTCCGACGGCTCCCACATCTTCACCTTCCACGACACCTTCTCGGGCGCGCTCTGTGCGTACTTCAGGCCCAGGGCCCACGACGGCGGCGAACATCCGGATCCCCTGACCATCTGCCCGCTGCCGGTTAGAGGGACGGGCGTCCCCGAAGAGAACGACAGTGACACCTGGCTACAGCCCTATGAGCCCGCGGACCCCGCCCTGGACTGGTGGTGAGGCGCCCTCGTGGCCGCGGGACTGGCCCCGGGGGGCCCCCTGGATCCCAGGCCAGCGCTTTGCTCTCCTGCTCCGTCTGAAGGGAGCAGGTGCACCAGCCAAAATGTCAGCGAGGGGGACAAAGAGAGGGACCTTTGCCTACGTAGATGTGTATGTGTAGTGCGATTTTCTTCAAGGAAAGGAGACAAGTCCAAAGCTCGTTTGTGGATTGTGGGACTGAGCGAAGGAGTACAAATATATCCACGTCGCTCAGAGCTGGGGTGCTCACGGTGGGCGGTGGGCAAGAAGCCAGCATGGAAGAAAGAAGGGAGAAAACTTTGGTGACTGCCTTAGAGGGATCAGTTAATTTGTATAGTTTTATATTTTTTGTATATGTTTGCTAGCTCTAAAAAGGTCGAGATGCAATAACACTTCGTAAGCAACGAGTTCACCTAAGTAAGGCTCAGATCCTAGTTTTAAAAACCATTTCCCATTAAAATGAAGTTGGAGGAACAGCTGCTTCTGGAGCCGGGGCAAAAATTTCAAGGTGAGCCTGGAGCATTGTGTGTGGTGAAGTAAAATAAAGGCTCAAAACGTGACGGCAACCCGGCAAAAGGGTAGGGAGCCAGGCCGAAGGGGCCTCACTGACCAATTGTGGGACAATTTGAACATCAGGATGAATAATGACAGGAGAGATTATAACACACTGAATAAAAACATAATCCATGAGTTCATGCTGATACTCAAATTTCTTTTTAAAAAGGAGAAACAGGAAGGTTTCTTTTGGAGGTGAAATCTAATTATTGGTGAGAGTCTTGGAGAACAGGCTGTTTCCAGTCTCAAAGCAGTAACCTTATACACTACTTATAAGTTTGAAAGGGGAAAGGTTACCTTTACAATGGAGACATCTACCAGATCATCCAAGTGATTAAATTTAACATCATCAATGATGGGACCAAGGACATTATTAGTTTGACAACTGGGGAAAGAAGTGTTCTTCACCCCCTACCCCCAAGACATTGTCTCTGTCGGCCAGGCTGGAGTGCAGCCTCAACCTCCTGGGTCCAAGTGATCCTCCCACCTCAGCACACAACACCATGCCCAATTTTAAGTGCGTTATAGAGACGGGGGTCTCACTTTGTTACCCAGGCTGGTCTCAAACTCCTGCGCTCAAGCAATCCTCCCACCTGGGCCTCCCAAAATGCTGGGTGTACAGGCATGAGCCGCTGTGCCTGGCTTCATTTTCAGAGTGAGACATTTGTACTGTGGCTATGTAGGAGAACATTCTTGTTCTTAGCAAACATACTGAAGTTTTTAGATATTAATTACCACAGTGTCTGCCACTGAATTTCCAGTGACTAAGTGGAAAAATATAAAACATATGAATATAAAGAAAGAAAGAGACAAGTCAAATGTAGTAAAATGACAACACTTGGTGACTCTAGGTGACTGGTCGACAGATGTTCATTGTACTATCAATGTGGCTTTGCTGTGGGTTTGAAATTTTGCAAACTAAGAGTTGGGTGGCGGGGAGAAGGATACACCAAAAAACTAAGTGATTATCTTTGGATGGGAAAATGTTTGGTAATTGCATTCTTAAAATGTCTTCTTTGTATTTTTTAATGTTCAATAATGTATATGTATCAGTTCTGTAATAAAGGGGAAAACACTTTTTTTAAATACTCATATTCAAAATCATTCATTTGAAAGGAGCTATAATGAAACTGCTGGACGATCTCCTAGGCCATTGTTTCAGAGTAAGTAAATATGGCTCTCATCCCCTTCCCCTTAATCCAGGCAGAGCTTTCCTTGCCCGTCTTGTTTGAAAGGGGGAATGAGGAAGGGAGACTGGTCCGCAGCCAAGCTTTCTAACTGGTCTTTCCTCCTTCTTCCCTCTTTCCCTCTCCTTTTCTTTTCCTCTTCATGGGGACTGAGATTTCTACTAGGGCCTTTAGCACCAGGATGGGAACGGATGGGGCAGGGACACCTCTGGGATGAGCTTTCGCCCCACAGGCCCGGGAGTTCGGTTACGTACCAGAGGGAGGTGGCACAAATAAAAAAATTCACTAAGTGGCGCTGAGAGTCGGGAATTCACTAAGTGCGCTGAGAGTCGGGTTTCGCTGTCAGTGAAGGGAAATACGAAATACGGAAAGGGGAAAGGAGAGGATGAGGGTGACTCTGAGGTGGACTGGAATGAGATGTATCAATGTGAATGCGTGGGTTTTACTGCATGTAGAGAGATGGAATGCACGCACACACGTGGACAGATACACAGATATGTGTGGGTGCATGCAGATCGTTCCCAGCTCTGTCTTGTTTGAAGGCTTAGCAACAATAACACCCCAGTACCAACGGGCACACCGAGACCCAGAACTTAGTTTTTAGTACGATTTTCAGTAAAAGGAATAAAGTCTCCTTGGAGAAATGGTTGAGTCCAAGGCTGGGGCAGGGAAAATACAAGGAGAGCCTACAATATCCTACACCAGAAAATAAGGAAGTAGGTTGCACAGAAGAGCCATGTCGAATGGATTTAGACGTCAGAATGGATTTTGAACCCCTGAATCAAATAGGAATCCATATGTATATTTCCCCACTGATATACATACATACATACATACATACATAAACAAATTCATGGAGAGAAGAGAAAGCTCTGCCCTACAATAGGAGTCTGAAAATATTACTTCTTAACTCATAAGTACAAAACACGTACCAATTAACTTTACAGTGGAGGAGGCTGGCAGGCGCCACCTTAGCCAAATGACAAAAGTTAACATCACCAGATGCGAAAACAGTTTACATCACATTCTTCCTGATACAATGCAGAATACAAACGGCATCACTTTTGAGGTATTCCTGCACCCAAAAATGCATAAATCAGGAGGAAACATCACAGAAACTGACTGGTACTCTTCAACAATGTCAAGGTCATGAAAGACGGGACAACACTAAGGAACTGCTTCAGACTAAAGGAAACAGGACAACTAAGTGCAACAGGTGACCCTGGATGGGATCCTGGATCTATAAAAAACATCACTGGGCCAGACAAATTGGCTCAGGCCTGTAATCCCAGCACTTTCGGAGGCTAAGGTGGAATGATTGCTCGAGTCCGGCGGGGGGAGATTATTGGGGGAAAAAAGGGCATTTTGAAAGAGGTGTGTGGATTAGATAATAATATTGGATAAATGTTAATTTCCTCATTTTGATGTAGAAGAATGCTTTTAAGAAAATGCACACTTACATATTAAGGGGTAAAGGATTATGATGTTTATACCTTATTTTCAAATGGTTCATTAAGACATATAGTAATATAAACAAAAGAGAGAGAGAATGATAAAGAAATGCAGTGGTGTCTGATAAATGTTTAATAACTGGCTTTCTAGGCTGGGCGCGGTGGCTCATGCCTGCAATCCCAGCACTTTGGGAGGCCGAGGCGGTGGATCACAAGGTCAGGAGATCAAGACCATCCTGGCTAACACGGTGAAACCCCGTCTCTACTAAAAATATAAAAAATCAGCTGGGCGCGGTGGCGGGTGCCTGTAGTCTCAGCTACTCGGGAGGCTGAGGCAGGAGAATGGCGTGAACCCGGGAGGCGGAGCTTGCAGTGAGCCGAGATTGCACCACTGCACTCCAGCCTGGGCGACAGAGTGAGACTCTGTCTCAAAAAAAAAAAAAAAAAAAAAAAAAACTGGCTTTCTGAAAAAAAAAATATTGAGCCAATTTCCCTGGTGCAAGTCCTCCCACTATGGTTGATTTCAAGCTAAAGATGTGACACCACTGAGGGCAGACTGGGAAGTGCCTTAGTCAGCTCTCGCTGCTGTAACAAGATGCCACACACGGGGGAAGTGCCTTAGTCAGCTCTCGCTGCTGTAACAAGATGCCACACATGGAGGAAGTGCCTTAGTCAGCTCTCGCTGCTGTAACAAAATACCACACACGGAAGAAGTGCCTTAGTCAGCTCTCGCTGCTGTAACAAAATACCATACACGGAGTGGCTTGTAAACAACAGAAATTTATTTCTCACAGTTTTGGAGGCTGCAAGTCCAGGATCAGGGTCCCAGCACGGTCAGGGTTGGCGAGGGTTCTCTTCTGGGTTGCAAACTGCTGCTTTGCTTTGTATCCTCACATGGCAGACAGCAAGAGAGTTCTCCAGGGTCCGTTTATATTTTTGTCTTTTAAATTGAGACAGGGTCTTGCTATGTTGCCCAGGCTGGTCTGGAACTCCTGGCCTCAAGTGACCCACCTACCTCAGCCTCCCAAACTGCTGAGATTACAGGCATAAGTTACCTCATCCAGCCCCTACCAGGGTCTGTTTCTGTTTTTTTTGTTTGTTTTTTGTTTTTGAGACAGTCTCACTCTGTCGCCAGGCTGGAGTGCAGTGGCGCGATCTCAGCTCACAGCAACCTCCACCTCCTGGGTTCAAGTGATTCTCCTGCCTCAGCCTCCAGAGTAGCTGGGACTGCGGGCATGCACCACCACACCCAGCTAATTTTTGTATTTTTAGTAGAGACAGGGTTTCACCATGTTGGCCAGGGTGGTCTCGATCTCTTGACCTCATGATCTGTCCTCCTCGGCCTCCCAAAGGACTGGCATTAAAGGCGTGAGCCACCCAGCCTCTAACAGGTCTGTTTTTACAAGTGCATTAATCCCATCATAAGGACTCCACCCTCATGACCTAAGCACCTCCCAAAAGTCCCACCTCCTACTACATTGCATTGGGTGTTACGATTTCAACATGTGAGTGGGGCATGGTGGAGAGGGACACATTCAGACCATAGCAGGAAGAGACACCCATGATCAGCTCTCATGAGATGCCAGCTCCAGAGACCATTGTTTGTGCAATTCTAGAGGGAGATTGTAATTTGTTTCTCCATCAAGTCAGATAAGTGCATTTTAAGCTTATGAAAATATTCTTGGTCACCTGTTGGGAGAAAGCTATTCCCCTTAATTAACACATGATATTCAGAAAATGGAAGTTTTTTTTTCTAGAGTCATTTGCATTAGTGTGAGAATATTTAGGGTTCTTACTCATGAATGTTTTTGTGATAACATTAAAAATATGTTCCCTCTCCATCTGTAGCTATTATTCCTTTAAGACTGTATTTATGTGATAAATAAGAAAAGCAAACATACAGCTAATATAAAAAACAATGCTAAACTGTGTTTAAATAATCAGTGGACACCATCAGCCCACTTTAAATGATGGGCAGGCTGTTTTCCAGTGCAGGAGGGCTGTAGGCAGCCAGGGGCCCCAGCTGGAGTGGCATTAAGTTCAAACCCCTCTCTCACAAGGGCTGACAGCGGCACACAACCATGTGGCTCAACCAGCCAGCCAAAGATCCCGTCACCCCGACCCCCGTTCCTGGGCCCATCCAGCCCATAGTAAGGTGTCTCGTGGTAAGGCATCATACCAAAGTAGGCAGGGTCTGCAGCTTGGAGGAGCTAAGGGTAGCTGGCATTCACAAGAAGCTGGGCCAAACCATTGGCATCTCTGTGGAGCCAAGATGACAGAACAAGTCCACTGAGTCCCGCAGGCCAATGCACGGCACCTAAAGGTGCATGGGACCAAACTCATCCTCTCCCCAGGAAGCCCTTGGCCCCCAAGAAGAGAGACAGTTCAGCAGAACTGAAATTGGCCACCAGATTGACCAGACCCGTTATGCCCATCAGGTATGTCTACAGGAAGGAGAAAGCCTAAATCATCACCGAGGAGGAGAACTTCAAAGCCTTTGCCCCAAAGCCTTTGCTAGTCTCCACATGGCCTGTGCCAACACCTGGCTCTTCGGCATATGGAGAGCTGATGCAAGCTGCAGAACAGGATGTTGAAAAGAGAAAATAAATACCCTCCGGGGACTTAAAAAAAAAAGGGGGTGGGAGGGTCCAATACCCAGCCTTAAACTGAGAGAGACCTGAGACATTCAGGTATACATTTTGTGAACCATGAAGGCCCCGGGAGAGGCTGCCCAGAAGGCTGGAGCATGCAGAGTAAAAACCCACGTTTCCCTCCTGCAAGCGGCCCCATGCAAGTGTATACAAATAGCACATGGTGGATGTCCTTCTCCCTATCGTTCACATTTTCCATGCAGCTAACCCTCAAAAGTAGGAAAAGGGTGATTGCAGCACTTTCGTGTGTATCTCCGTCCAGTGTACAGAATACACCAGTGCTGAACCTGGTTGGGAGGCTTCTGCTGCTTGAGGGCGCCTGAGGATGGGAAGCTCTTTGGTGGTAGTGTTATGGGATCTCTGGGGTGTTGATTTTGCTGGTGTATCTCCTGGAAACCTCTGTGGCTGTGGCACTTTGCCCAAATTCTTGTTCTTTTCCTGTATCATACACAGACAAGTGAGGGGTGAAGAAGAGTTTTATTTAGTGTTCCAACAGCTCAGAGGAGTGAGTAGCTCCTCACTGTAGGCTGGTTGCCCATGGAGTGTTCAGTCCTCGGCAGAAAGGAGGCCCTGAAGAGGGTAGCTCCTCTCCACAGGCAAGTCATTTGGATGTCTCTACAGGTCTCTGAAGCTCTCATAGCAGAGAAAATACGTCCTCTCTGCCGGCAGGTCTCTGAAGCTTTCAGTGGAGAGAGTACTATTCTCTCTCCAGCTGGTCGTCTGTACAGTCGTCTCTCTGCCCTCTTTGTTTTGTGGTCCTTCTCTGGCCTGCTCTGGCTGGTCTCGGGACTTTTATAGGCCTTAGAGGGGAGGAAGTGCATGCCGATTGGTCCATGGGTGGCCATAGGCGGGTCCAGAAGAGGCACCACGAGTCCCCACTCAGGTCCGCAGGACTGGCAGCCCAGCCTTCAAGGCCCTCCCTGGCCTGAAAGTGGGACCTTTCCACAAAAAGATATGTAACATTTTCAATTTTCTATGTCATCTGTAAATTGTTACAACAAATCCAGGTAGACTGAAGTATATGGAGACTGCATAGTGTGAATTCTAAAGTTAAGAAAAAAACAATAAAATAAAATGCCAAAAGATGAAGATTTATACTGAAAAAATCAATAGAGGTGATAAAATAAAATACCAAACAATTTTGATTAGTCCAATAGGATGCAAATAGGAGGAATTGTGTTTTTTGAAAAGGGTACAGATACGTAGAAAACAAAAAGCAAATGTTAGATTTAAATCTTACCAGAGAGATAGCTATAATGACTACAAACAGAATAAACACTTCTATTAAAAAGAAGAGATTGACAGACAACTCACTTTAAAAATAAAGAATTGATAGGGCAGTAAAGTAATAGACAAAAATACAACTTGCAAAAAGATATTCCATGTGCATGGATACACAAAGATAGCAGGGTTAGCTATACTTGTATCAGACAAAATAGTCTTTAGGTCAAAAATTGTAAAAAGAGATTAAGAAAGTCATTATGTAATAATATTTCAATATTAAGAGGATATAACAATTATAAATATATATGCGCCCAAAACTAGAGCACCTAAATATATAAAGCAAATTTAA
This sequence comes from Homo sapiens, assembly GCF_000001405.40. NCBI lineage: Eukaryota > Metazoa > Chordata > Mammalia > Primates > Hominidae > Homo > Homo sapiens. The sequence continues at coordinate 181,067,298 of NC_000005.10, forward strand.
AATAATTTAAAGGGAGAGATAAACTAAAATGCAATTGTAGGAGATGACTTTAATACTTTTTTTTTTACTTTTTGTTTAGAAACAGGGTTTTGCTCTGTTGCCTGGGCTGGAGTGAAGTCACACAATCATAGCTCACTGTAACCTTGAATTCCTGAGCTCAAGCAATCCTCCTGCCTCCAGCCTCCTAAGTAGCTAGGACTACAGGCGTGTGCCACCACCATGCCTGGCAATTTTTTTTTTTTTTTTTTTTTTGGTAGAGACAGGGTCTAGTATGTTGTGCAGGCTGGTCAACTTGAACTCCTGGCCTCAAGCAATCCTCCCTCCTAGACTTCCCAAAGTATTGGGATTACAGGTGTGAACCGCCAGCATGAGCCTGGCCAATATTTCACTTTCAACAAGGAATAGAACATCCAGACAGAAAATCAAAAAGGAAACATTGGCCTTCAAACCAAGTAGACCTCATAGATGTATACAGAACATTTCATCCAACAGCAACAGAATACACATGCTTTTCTGGAGCACATGGAACATTGTGCAGGATAGATTCTATGTTACAGCACAACATAAGAAGACTGAAATTATATCAAGTGTCTGTTCTAATCACAATGGTATGAAACTAGAAAATAACAACAGGAGAAATCTTGCAAAATGCACAAATATGTGGAAATTAAACAACCTGCTCCTGAATAACAATGAGCCAAAGAAGAAATCACAGAGAAAACAAAAAATATCTTGGGACAAATAAAAATGAAAATATAACACAATATGAAAATGGAAAAATCACAAGAAGCAACCTAACTTTACATCTCAAGCAACTAGGGAAAGAACAAACTAAAACCCCAAGTGAGCAGAATAAAAGAAACAATAAAGATCAGTGCAGAAATAAGTGAAATTGAGACTAGAAAACAGCAGAAAAAAATCAATACACAATTGAGAACTGGATTTTTTGAAAAGATAAGCAAAATTCACAAACCTTTCCCTAAACTATAAAAAAAGACAGAAGACTCAAATAAAACCAGAAATGAAAGAGGAAACATTACAATTGATACCACAGAAGTAAAAAAAAGATCATAAAAAGCTACTATGAACAGCAACCAATCAGATAATCTAGAAGAAATGGATAAATTCCTAGCAACATATAATATACCAAGTATGAATCATTAAGAAATAGAAAATACAGGCTGGGCATGGTGGCTCACGCCTGTAATTCCAGCAACTTTGGAAGGCCAAGGTGAGCGGATCACTTGAGGCCAGAAGTTCAAGACCAGCCTGACCAACATGGCAAAACCTCATCTCTACTAAAAATACAAAAATTAGCCGGTTTCAGGGCATATGCCCTAATCCCAGCTTCTCGAGAGGCCAAGGAATGAGAATTGCTTGAACCTGGGAGGCAGAGGTTGCATAGCCAAGATTGTGCCACTGCACTCCAGCTTGGGCAACAGAGCAAGACTCTGTCTCAGAAAGAAAGAAAGGAAATAAGGAAAGGAAGGAATGAGAGGAAGGAAAGGAAGAAAGGAAGAAAGAAAATGTAAAAAGTATAAGTAAGGAGATAAAATAAAAAGTCTCCCACCAAAGACAAGCTTAAAAACTGATGGCTTCACTGATGAATTCTACAACAGTTAAAGAGAATACCAGTATCTCTGAAGATCTTCCAAAAAATTGAAATGGAAATAGAATTTCCAAACTGACTTCATGAGACCAGCATTACTCTAATACCAAAGCCAGACAAAAACACTATTAAAAAAACTACAGGCCAATATCTCCAATGAACATAGATGCACCAATTCTCAATAAATACTAGCAAAACCAAACTCGACAACACATCATAAACATCATATGAACAAGTGGGAATTATCCCTGGGATGGACAAAGCAATGCATATGATACCCCACATTAACAAAATGAACGATAAAAACCACATGGCTATCTCCGTTGATGCATAAAAACTATTTGACAAAATTTAACATTCATGTTTTCTTCAAAAAAGCTCTCAACAAAATTGGTACAGAAGAAAACTTCCTAAATACAGAAAGGTCATTCATGAAAAGCCCACAGCTAGTACCATAATGAGGAAATACTGAAATATTTTACTCTAAGATCGAGTGCAAAGCAAAGATGCCCCCCTCTCACCACTTCAACACACAACTGACAGTAATAGCAAGAGCAATCAGAAAAGAAAAAGAAAAACATTTGAGGTAGCAAAGAAAAACTAAATTATCCCTATTTGCAGAAAGCATTATTTTATATGTAGACAACCTTAAAAACGCTAATTAAAAAAAGTTAAAACCAATGAATTCCATAACGTTGCAGGATAAAAAAAACCAACATACAAAAAGCAATAAGCATTTCCATATATTTAACAAACTATCTGCAAAAGAAATCAAGAAAACACCACTTTCAATAGCATCAAAAAAATTTAAATACTTAAAAATAAACTTAACCCAGAAAAACGAAGTATCTGCACACTGACAACTCTAATACATTAAGGAAATAAATTGAAGACACAAGTAAAAAGATATCCCACGGACATCATGACAAGTGAAGTGTGAAAAAGAGTTTTATTTAGTGTTAGAGCAGCTCCGAGGAGTGGGTAGCTGCTCACTGCAGGCTGGCTACCCGTGGAGTGCTCAGCTCTCAGCAGAAAAGAGGTCCTGCAGAGGTTAACTCCTCTCCACAGGTAAGTCATTCAGGTATCTCTGCAGGTCTCCGAAGCTCTAAGCAAAGACAGTAGCTCCTCTCTGCCGGCAAGTCCCTGCATCTCGCAGTGGAGCGAGTACCCTTCTCTTTCCAGCTATTGGTCTGTCCAGCAGCCTCTCCGCCGTCCTCTCTGGCTGGTCGTTCTCCTGCCGAGTCCGCCTGGTCCCGGGACTTTTATAGGCCTCAGGCGGGGAGGAAGTGCATGCCGATTGGCCCATGCGTGGCCATGGGCGGGTCCAGAAGAGGCACCACGAGTCTCCACTCAGGTCCGCAGGACTGGCAGCCCAGCCTTCAAGGCCCGCCCTGACCTGAAAGAGGGACCTTTACTGGGGACCTTCCCCCTTCCGCCAAGGACTCCGTCTGCCTCCTGTGGTCATTCAAGGCCCCCAGGGCTCGGCCCCAAATCCGATCCAAGATCGGAGCAGTTGCCAGGAGTGGAGAAAAGCCAGGTAGTGGGAGCAGACGCCCCAGAGCCTACAGGGACAGAAGTGGGGGAAGGGAGGGGTCCTTTCTGGGGCCCCCGAGGGTGCAGGCTGCAGAGATGCCCGGGTCCTGCAGGTAAGAAGGCAGCTGCAGCGCCTAGGAGGGCAGACGCAGCCACACCCCTGAAGGCAGACCCTGTCTGCTCCCAGCCCTCCCCCAAGAGCACAGAGGGGGCTCGGATCCACAGGTGCAGTTTGGGCTGCTATGGCCCCGGCCCTCCCGCCTGCTCCGTACAACAGGAGGCCTGGGTCTGCGTCTGCAGTTTGGGCGCCTGGAGCTCCAGTCCCAACTCAGAAGGGACAGGGCTCCCACCAGCTCCCTGGAGCGTGCAGCTCCAGCCGTGCCTCCCTGCTGTAGCCGGCATACTGGCAGCAGCCACTGCCATCAGCAGAGTGGGGGAAAGACCTCCTCAGCCAAGCGGGCATCAAGTTATCCCCAGCTCGCCAGGGAATCTCAATGGGAAGACAACGATTCCCCAAGAATTGGGCATTCCTGCACATTTTTGGTGGGCTTATAAATTGGTGCAGCTTCTTAGAGGTCAATTTTGGTATTATCTACCAATTTATAAATGTGAACATTCTTTGACCCAACAATTCCACTCCCAGGAATCTGTTCTACAGAAATATTTGCATTAGCACCTAAAGACATAAGATATTCAATGCGTCAGTATGTACGCAGAGGTCGAAAACCATCTACCTGCTACCAGGGGAACAGATATAGTTTATTCATACTATGGGGTACTATGGCACTGTAAATTTTATGATACACATAAATTTTTACAGGGAGCATGTATTGCTTTGCAATTAAAAAGGAAATGAGGTGGCTACACCCTCCCCAAGTCCTCCTTATTCCTCAGCTCCCTCAGCTGTGCTTTGGCTGAACCCCCAGCCTCTTTTCCATGCCATTTGTGTCAGGACATTCCCATGCACTCCCCACCCGGCAGACGGCCTGGGAAGGAGGCAGCCAGATAGCTCGACATGGCTCGCTTCCCAGGTAATCTGACCCAAGGGAAACACAGGCTGGCACTGGGGAGGGTTAAGCGGGCTCTCTCTAAGGTCTTCATCTCCCAGTTTTCTTTTCCTCTGGGCAGGTCGTCCAGCCCATCAGAACAAGATACCAAGCTCCTCTTCTTGCAGACATCCCCCAAAGTTCCATGTGATTCTTTTAGGGGCTGCTTGGGGAGTGGCAAGTACTCCTAACTCCATCCCCATGGAGGGCAGGGAATCACCTCTTTCCAGGAGCACCATGCCCAGGGCCATGGTGACTCCCTCTCCAGCCTACTTCCCACCCCCAACCCCTCCCAAAGAAATGACCTCCTCTTTGGACCACTTTTTTATTTCACATTTATTTCTTTTATTTATATTTTATGGTCAGTGCAAACAATTCCATAAAGTAAAAACTTATGAAGAATCAAAGCATGATTATTTAAATTCAAAATAGACAGTTGATGCAAAATAATACAAGTATAAAAGTGGCTTCATTTGCACACACAGCAGCATGCGTTTCAACACATATCAAGGATGGTGAATGGTTGTTTTTTATTCTCTTGAAGACTGTGACAACATCAGATACTACAATGAATCTGTGTTCACATCAGCCAAAATTTGTTTCTAAAAATACTTTTTCACATTTAAACTACTGTCAAGATATGCTTTCCAGAATTAAGCCTCTAGTTTCTACCATCTAATAACTGATACAAAGCTGGGTACAGTGGCTCATGCCATAATCCCAACACTTTGGGAGGCTGAGGTGGGAGGATCACTGGAGGCCAGGAGTTCAAGACCAACCTGGGCAACAAAGCAAGACCCCATCTCTGTAAAAATAAATAAATAATTTTTAAATAAATAAAAACTGATCTAGAAAGTGTTCCAAATGTAACTCTTCTGGTTATTAACGGTTAAAAAATAAGTATTTTCAAAAGTAATTTAAAATAATTGTTTCAAGTTTAATAATGCTGGTGCTCTTCCACCCTAACTCCAGGATGGGAGCCTCTGGTTTGGAATCTGTAGGCCCGGGCCAGGCCTCCCAACAACTCCACTTCCTTTCTTTTTCCTTCCCAGGATCTTTGTCTACCCTGGCTCCAGGAAGTGCAGTGTCTGGGAACTGTGCTGCTTCCAAGGCCCAGAATTCAGTCCATCAGGGGCCAAGGCTCAGGGGATCCTCCACACTGATGAGACTTAGGGGGCTCCTCCTCTAGCCAGCGGACCCCTGAGTACCGGCTGCCACAGTCCACATCAGGCTGAGGACCTCTCACCTCTGTTCCCAGTAACAATGCGAAGATTTTGTAGACAAAGGTCCAAAACCATGTCATTGCTGGGGCCCCACGCAGTGGCGGCTGTGGCTGCCTCCCTGAGATGTTCTCCAGTCCTCCCGTGGAGTGTAGCCTTGGAAAAGAGCTGGTCAGCAGGGGCCCTGGGGGAGCCCTGGAACTGGGAAACAGGGAAGCAGCAGGTGAGCTGGGCAGCACTGGCATTGGCTGGGTCTTTGTTGGGCCCGAGGCTGGTTTTGGAAGGGTGAACCCCACACAAGCTGGAGCCCAACTGTCATCTATTACTAACTGAGAGCTCACTGTAGGGCCAGAGACTTAGTGCGTCTGACCACAGCTTTTAACTGTCACCTTCTTGCTGAACAAGTTACTCTCAGTGTGTCGGAGAAGCAGGAGGATGGACGGAGATCACGAAACTAAGCAAGGTCAGTGCAGAGAAAATGCTGAAGTATAATTAGGTTTCTCTGTTGACCGTCATGGGAGGGAACCTCTAGCATAGTAAAAAGGCATCCTAGACTTCTGATTTTTGCTCTGCCATATGAAGAGCTCAGCGGCATCACTCCCACACTTACAAGAAAACAACTGAACAAAGTAAAATACAATAGCTCCTCATAAATCACAGGGCAAACTGCTGCCCTGAAAACTGGAGAGAGAGAGGCTGATACAAAACATCACAGCTCACCATGAGCAGAAGCCTGAGAGGAGAAGCCTCCCTGGAGCCAGAACGAGCAGGAACAACTAGACTGAAATAAACCAGCTGCTGGAGGCAGAGGCTGGACCAGTTAGAGTTAAAAACCCCAGCCTTGAGGGCTCCCACACTTTCTTGAGTTTTATGTCCAGGGGCCCCAGCAGGTCCCCACTGTGAGGATTGGAGGGAAATCTCATGCCTCCAGCCAGGGCAGAGGAAAAGCAACCATTTGGAAATGCAGCAGAGCATTCTGTTCTCCTCCAGTTCCCTGCAACAAAGGCTGACACACGTGGGAGTCTAGACGAAAGCCTGACCTGACCCAGGGAGGGTCGATGACCCAACGCCAGCCCCTATAGCCACCCTGCCACATCTAAGTGGGAGGGGAGCTGAGCAGCACTTGCGGAGGTCATACAGCAAGAGCAGAGACCACAGAACCACTGAGACCTAATCACAAGATGGGGGAATACTCCCCTCCCCACCTCCCACCTCCACGGCAGCAGGTCCCCTGTACAGCAACGGGGGATCACAGTAGAGAACTGCAAGGCTCAGACTATTTCAGAAGGGCTTTCCAGAGGAGGCAAATGCAACACTAGAGGAAATTGGAGCCTCAGACACCTACAGCTACAGCAAATAGTAAACACAGCATAATTCTCCTAGCGAGATAAACACCAACCATCTCCCTATAAGCCAATATATCTAAGTTCCTATTACCCAATACATCATGTCTGGTTTTCAACAAAAATGTACAAGGCACGCTAAAGTGTAACAGAAAACAATCTAAAGAGGAAAAGAAAGCAGGAGAACCAGATTCAGATATGGCAATAATTTTGGAATTATCAGAACAGGCACTTAAAATAAGTATGATCAACATGCTAAGGATGCTAATGAAAAAAGCAGACAATATAAAGAACAATGGATAATATAAGTAGAAAGATTGAAACTCTGAGAAAGAATAAAATAAAAAGAGGCTGGCTGCGGTGGTGCACACCTGTAATCCCAACACTTTGGGAAGCTTGAGTCCAGGAGTTCGAGACCAGCCTAGGCCACAAAGTGAGACCTTGTTTCTATTAAAAAAGAAAAAAAAATGCCAGGTGTGATGGTTCACACCTCTAATCCCAGCACTTTGGGAGGCTGAGGTGGGTGTATCACCTGGGGTCAGGAGTTCAAGACCAGCCTGGCCAACCTGGTGAAACCCCGTCTCTACTAAAAATACGAAAATTAGCTGGGCATAGTGACGGGTTCCTGTAATCCCAGCTACTCGGGAGAATGAGGCAAGGTAATCACTTGAACCTGGAAGGCAGATGTTGCAGTGAGGCGAGATAGCATGATTACACTCCAGACTGGGCAACAGAGCAAGACTCCATCTCAAAAAAGGAAAAAAAATTAATTTCCAAAAATATTTTTTTTTAATTTTAAAAAGAAACACTAGAAATGAAAACCCCATAACAGAAATGCAGAATGCCTTTAATGGACTTAGTTGTAGCCTGGGTATAGCTGAGGAAAGAATCTCTGAACTTAAGAATATCTCAAAAGAGAATTTGCTACAGAGAATATCTCAATAGAAACTTCCCAAACTGAAGTACGAGAAAACAGCGGGAAAAAAGCCAGAGCAGGGCCAGGTGTCGTTGCTCACGCCTGTAATCCCAACATTTTGGGAGGCTGAGGCAGGAGGATTGCTTGAGTTTGAGACCAACCTGGGAAACATACTGAGACCCTGTCTCTACAAAAAGTAAAAGTAAAAAAATAGCCAGTCATGATGGCACGTGCCTGTGGTCCCAGATATTTGGACGGCTGAGCTGGGAGGGTCGGTTGAGCCCAGGAGGTCCAGGCTGCAGTGAGCCATGTTTGTACCAGTGCACTCCAATCTGGGCAATAGAGAAAGACGGGACGAGGAAAGAGGGAAGGGAAGGGAAGGGGAGAGGAAGGGAGGGGAGGGATTTGAAGTAATAATGGCTACAAATTTCCCACAATTAGTGTCAGACACCAAACTACAGATCCAGGAAGATCAGAGAATACTAAGTAGAATAAAAAACAAAAACGCTTTACCTAGATATATAATAATCAAAACCAAGGACAAAAAGGGAAACCATGAAAGAAGCTGAAAAGGTGCAGGAAGGTTGTTGGGGGGGGAACACCCTACTGGTAGAAGAACAAGGATAAGAATTATATCGGAATTCCTATTGTAAACCATGCAAACAACAAGTGAGTAGTGAAATATTTAAGTGTTACAAGAAAAAAAATGCCACCCTAGAAACCTATATTCAGTGAAATTATTCTTCAAAAGTGAAGAAGGAAGTAGGATTTATTCTTGGGATGCAAGGTTAGTCTAACATATGCAAATCAATCAATGTGATACATCACATCAACAGAATAAAAGGGAAATAAATACCAAATCATCTCCATAGATGCAGAAAAAGATTTGATTCCGTACAAGGCAAGGATCCACACTTGCCACTTCTAGTTAAAAAGCACAAGAAACAAAAGGCATCCAAATCAGAAAGGAATGCTGGTGCGATGGCTCACACCTGTAATCCCAGCACTTCGGGAAGCTAAGGTGAGCAGATCGCTTGAGCCCAGGAGTTTGAGACCAGCCTAGGCAATATGATGAAACCCTGTCTCTACAAAAAAATTCAAAAACTATCTGGGCATAGTGGCACATGCCTGTAGTCCCAGCTACTCAGGAGGCTGAAGTGGGAGGATCACTTGAGCCCAGGAGGCAGAGGTTGCAGTGAGCCAACATTACGCCACTGTACTCCATCCTGGGCAACAGAGCAAGACCTTTTCTCAAAAAACAAACAAACAAAACAAACAAATAGGCAAGGAAGAATTAAGTTATCCCTGTTTGTAGATGACATATTCTATATGTAGAAAACCCTAGGGACGTCATTAAAAAATGGTTAGAACTAATAAATAAATTCAGTAGACTTGCAGGCTACGAAAATCAACATAAAAAATCAACAGCATTTTTTTTTTTTTTTTTTTTTTTGGAGACACAGTCTCACTCTGTTGCCCAGGCTGGAGTGCAGTGGTGCGATCTTGGCTCACTGCAACCTCCACCTTCTGGGTTCAAGTGATTCTCCTGCCTCATCCTCCCAAGTAGGTGGGATTACAGGTGTGCACCACCTGTATTTTCAGTACAGATAGGGTTTCACCACGTTGGTCAGGCTGGCCTCAAACTCCTGACCTCATGATCCACCTGCCTTGGCCTCCCAACTGCTGGGATTACAGGCGTGAGCCACTGCGCCCAGCAGAAATCAACAGCATTTCTATTTATTAACAATAAACTGTCAAAAAAGGAAATCAAGCCATTTACAATAGCTACCCCCCAAAATACGTAAAAATAAATTTTCCCAAGGAAGTGAAAGATTTGTACATCAACTATATAACATTGATGAAATAAATTAAAGACCACAGAAATAAAAAGATATCCCATGTTCATGAATTAGAAGAATATTGTGAAAATTATTATACTACCGAAAGCAATCTACAGATTCAATATAATTCCTATAAAATTCCAATAACATTCTTCACAGAAATAGAAAAAAAAATCCTAAAATTCATATGGAACCACAAAAGACCCCAAATAACCAAAGGAATCTTAAAAAGAACAAAGCTAGAGGCATCACACTACCTGACTTCAAAACATACTACAAAGCTGTAGTAATTAAAACAGCATGGTACTGACATAAAACCAGACATATTGAACTGACTAGAGAGCCTTGAAATAAGTTTTATGTATTTACAGTCAATTGGTTCTCAACAAAGATGCCAAGAACTCACAATAGGGAAAGGACAATCTTTTCAATAAATGATGTTGAAGCAACTGTATATTCATGTGCAAAAGAATGAGATTAGACTTTATCTCTCACCATATACAAAAATCAACTCAAAATGAATTAAAGATCTAAATGTAGAACAGTGGTTACCAGGGGCCAAGATGTGGGAGAAAATTGGGAGACATTGGTCAAAGGGTGCAAACTTGCTGTTATATAAAATAAACAAGTCTAGATATCTAACACACTGTATGAGGACTACAGTTAATAATATTGTATACTGAAATTTTGCTAAGAGTAGATTTTAGATGCTCCTACCATACAAAATGTAACTATGTAAAGTGATGGATGGGTTCATTTGCTTGACTATAGTAAATAATTTCACTATGTTTGTATATATGAAAACATCATGTTGTATGCTTGAAATATATACAATAGAAAATAAACAAAAATTTTTAGAAAATGAAGGAGAGTTAAGGGCTTTCTCGGACAAACAAAAACTGAGGGAATTTGTTGCCGGTAGACCCGTCTTGTAAGAAGTGTTAAAGTTCTTCAGAGAGAAGGAAAATGTTATATTTCTGAAACTTGGAGCTACATAAGGAAGGGAAGTGTGTTAGATAAAGAATAAATGAAGGTAAAATAAAACCTTAATTTTTCTTATTATTAATTGACCTAATAAATAACTTCAAAATAATAATAGCAAAAATGTTCTGGGTAAATATAGCTTATGGATAAGTTAAATGAATGATAGCAATGTGAATGCTTCTGTTATAAAGTACCCACACTACCCATGAAGTGGACTTGAGAATGGATTTAAATTACTTATAAACTAGCCAGGTGCAGTGGCTCATGCCTGTAATCTCAGCAATTTGGGAGGCCAAAGCAGGAAGGCTGCATGAGCCCAGGAGTTTGAGACCATCCTGGGCAACATAATGAGATCCCATCTGTACAAAAATTGTTTTTAAAAAATTAGCTGGGCATGGTGGTGCATACCTTAGTCTCAGCTACTTGAGGGGCTGAGGTGAGAGGGCTGCTGGAGCCCAGGAGTTCAAGGCTGCAGTGAGCTATTATTGCAGCACTGCACTCAAGCCTAGGTGACAGAGCAAGACCTTATTTCAAAAATAAACAACAAAAATTACCCATAAGTTTGTTGCAAAAGTATCCTGAAAACCCTAAGGAAGCCTTAATTTTTTTAAATAGAGATAGGGTCTCACTCTATTGCCCAGGCTGGTCTTGAACTCCTGGGTTCAAGCCATCCTCCTACCTTAATCTTCCAAAGTGTTGGAATTCTAGGCATGAGCCACCAAACCCAGCCTAAATTATTTTAAAAAGAAGTTTAATTGCTATGCTAAGAGATGAGAGAAAATAAAATAATACAAAATGCTCAGTTAAAACTGGAAGACAGAAGGAAAGAAAGGTTTTTAAAAAAAGAAGTGAAGAACAAGTGAATGAATAAAAAAGTTACAAATGTGGTAGATATTAATCCAACTATACCAATAACCGCTTTAAATATAAATGGTTTAAATACACCAGTTAAAAGGTAGAGACTCACGGAGTAGATAATGAGACTCAACTACATGTTGTCTACAAGAAATTCACTTTAAATATAAAGACGCAGATAAAGAATAAAGGGATGAATGAAAATATATAATGCTAACACAAATCAAGAAAATCCTGGAGTAGCCATATTAATTTCAAACAAGGCAGACTTCAGAACAAAAATTATCAGGGATAAATAGAAGCATGACATTACAAAGAGGTCAATTTCCATTAAAACACAACAATTCTTAATGTGTTCCCCTATGAAGAGATTGTCCAAATACATGAGGCAGAAGGTAATATGTCAAACAACTCAACCATAGTTGAACTCAACCATCAAATAACTGAACTTGACAATTACAGAATATTCATCCACTGACAGCAGAATACACATTCTTTTCAAGTTTACATAGAATATTCAGAAAATAAATCACATTCTAGGCCATAAAAAACACCTCAAAAAATTTAAAAGAAAAATATACAAAGTATGCTCTTGCACCACAATGGATAAAAACTAGAAATCAGTAACAGATAGCTGGAAGTTTCTCAAATATTTGGAGATTAAATAAGACACTTCTAAATAATACATAGGTCAAAGTCTCAGGATAAATTAAAAATGTTTTCACCTGAATGAAATATGAAAATAGAACTTACTAAAATGTATAGGACGTAGTGAAAGCAGTGCTACAAGGAAAATTTATAGCATTAAATGCCTATATCAGAAAGGAACAAAGATCTAAAATCAATAATCTAAGCTTCCATCTTAGAAAACCAGAGAAAAAAGCATACTATAAGCCTGGAAAAAGCAGAAAAAAAGAAATAATAAAAATTAGAGCAAAAATCAATGAAATTGAAAACAAAGACAAATAGAAAAAAAAAAATCAATAAAATCAAAAGCTGGTTCTTTGAAAAGACCAGTAAAATTGGTAACTTACAGTGAGGCTAACAAAAAACAGAGAAAGGACATAAATTGCTAATATCAGAAATGAAAAATGGGACATTACTACTGATCTCAGGGACATTAAAAGTATAATAAAATATGTTCAACAACTATGCTCACAAATTTGATAACTTGGATGAAATAGACTAATTCCTTAAAAGATACAATCTACCGAAATTCACACTAAGAAAAGAGACAATATGAAAAGACTCATATGTATTAAATCAAATCAAGGCCGGGCAAGATGGTTCACACCTATAATCTCAGCACTTTGGGAGGCTGAGGCAGCCAGATCACTTAAGTTCAGGAGTTCCAGACCAGCCTGGCCAACATGGCGAAACCCTGTCTCTACTAAAAAATACAAAAAATTAGCCACGCATGGTGGCATATCCCTGTAGTCCCAGCTACTCGGGGCTGAGGCAGGAGGAAGTCTTGAGCCCGGGAGGCCGAGGCTGCAGTGAGTCCTGATCGTGCCACTGCATTCCAGCCTGGACGACAGAGTGAGACCCTCTCTCGAAAAAAACAAACAAACAAAAAACTATGTAATTCATGCCATCACCAGGCTAAGCAAGAAAAATCATATGATCACATAAATAGATGCAGAAAAGCATTTGACAAAATTCAACACCTAGTTATGATACAAACTCTCAGTAAACTAGGATAGAGGGGAATTCCTCAAATTGATAAAGAACATCTATAGGCAGAGCATGCTGGTTCATGCCTAAAATCCCAGCACTTTGGGAGGCCAAGGCAGAAGGATTGCTTGAGGCCAGGAGTTTGAGATCAGCCTGGGCAACATAGAGAGATTCCATCTCTAAAAAGAAAGACACACACACACACACACACACACACACACACAGAAACATCCACAGAAAAAAAACTAGCTAACATCATACTTAATGGTTAGTGAGAAACTAGGTGTTCTCTCCTTAAGATCAGGAGCAAGGATGTCCCCTACTATCATTCTTATTCAACATTGTACTGAAGTCCTAACTAATGCAAGAAGATTTTAAAAAGGAAATTAAAGCTATACAGATCAGGGGGAAAAAAGAAACTGTCTTTCTTCACAGATGACATGATTGTCTATGTAGAAAATACCAAAGTATTGACCAAAAACTCCTGAACTAGCAGATGATTATAGCAAGATTTTTTCTTTTCTTTTCTTTCTTTTTTTTTTTTTTTTTTGAGATGGAGTCTCACTCTATTGCCCAGGCTGGAGTGCAGTGGCTTGATCTTGGCTCACTGCAACCTCTGCCTCCTGGGTTCAAGCGATTCTCCTGCCTCAGCCTCCAGAGTAGCTGGGATTACAGGCACGATCCACCACGCCCAGCTAATTTTTGTCATTTTAGCAGGGACCAGGTTTTACCATGTTGGCAAGGCTGGTCGTGAATTCCTGACTTCAGGTGATCTGCCTGCCTCGGCCTCCCAAAGTGCTGGGATTACAGGCATCAGCCACTGCACCAGCCAGATTACAGCAAGATTACTATGTAGTGAATTATCATAATTTTATGTTGCCTCAGCACCCATTTTTCAGGGAAGTTTAACTTTCCTATGCCGGAAGGAGAGCTCAGTCACCCTTGACACAGTTTTCAGGTTCTACATCTCCTCCCAGTTCCTCAAGGTGGTCAGTCCAGATATCTGCTGTGCACAGCTGCCTCCCGGTGCCCACCTCCGCATGGCACAGCTACATACAGCCCACTCGACTAGCCCTGCATACTCTATGTAGTGGGATGGATGGCTGCACGTGAGATTTCAAGTCATAGTGGGTACCTTCGGACTGCTTGTTTAATTATGCTCATCAGATGCCTGACTCAGGTTTCTCCAGTAGCCTTTAGTGTCTCTGCTACTCAAATGGCACCCATGATAAGGCACAAGGTCTAATGCCTAGACATTACAGGGTCAATTTCAATGGTATTGACACAGCAGAGGTTTCTGCCTACGTATTAGAAGAACACCACACCCTAATGGCCCAAGCCAGTGGCCAAGGATAAAAACCTTGGAGGAACCTCTTCTGCCTAGTTGACTGGGCTCCCCACTTTCCCACCGCTTCCTTTAAATGGACCATTCAGGTATTTGCCCTTGAACTTAAAGCCACCCACAGTGTATTCTCCAACATACACTTCTAATTTCTGCATTCTTTCTCCCTGCCTGTACTCCCTAAACTAACCTCTCTGTGTGGGGGGCCTCCAAGCATGTCATATACTACCAGAACCTATAAGTAATAAAATCTTTATTTCTATTTTGTGTCTCTCCTAATCATTGAAGGGTTGCTCTCCATTTTAAAGATCATAAGTTTTAAAATACAGGACACAAAGTTAATAAACAAAAGTCAATTGCTTTACTATATGCCAGCAATAAACAATTGGGATTTAAAAATTAAAAATACAATAACACTAACATTAGCACTTAAAAAGTACTTAATAATAAATCAAAAAAATGGGTACAAGGTCCATATAAGGAAATCTAATGAAATCAAAAAAAGTTCTAAGTAAATGGAAAGATATTCCATGTTCATGGATAGGAAAGCTCAATCTTTTAAAGATGCCAATCCTTCCTAATTTCATCTACAGATTCAATGTAATCCAATCAAAATCCCAGCAGGTTATTTTATAAATACTGACAAACTGATTCTAAACATTATATGAAAAGGCAAAAGACCCAGGAGAGCCAACACAGTATTGAAGAAGAAATAAGTTGGAAGACTAATACTACCTAAAGGCTTACTATAAAGCTACAATAATCAAGAAAGTATAGTGTTGGCAAAGGAATAGACAGCTAGATCAATGAAGAAGAATAGAGAACAAACAGATCCACACAAATATACTTAACTGATATTTTGACAGGAATTAAAAGCAATTCAACAGATAATGTATGGTCTTTTCAAGAAATGATGCTGGAATATTTAGGCATGCATGTGCCAAAAAAAAAAAAAAAGGAAAAAAACATGAATCCAGACACTGATCTTACACCTCTCACAGAAATGAACTCAAAATGGATTATAGACCTAAATTTAACATGCAAAACTACAAAACTTTTACAAGAGAACCCGGGGAAAATCTGGGGAAGTTTTTCAAAGCATGATCCATGATCTATGAAGAAAAACGGGTATGTTGGACTTCACTGAACTTAAAAACTTCTGCTCTGCAAAGACATTGTTAGGGAAATGGAATGACAAGGCACAGACCGGGAGAGAATATTTGCTGAATACATATCTAACGAGGCACTTGTATTAACCAGCAATACCAGCACTTAGGGAGGCTGAGTTGGAAGGTTCACTTGAGCCCAGGAGTTCCAGATCAGCCTGAGAAACATAGGGAGAAAATTTTTTTTTTTAAATGTGCTGTGTGTGGTGACACTTGCCTATAGTCCTAGCTACTCAGGAGGCTGAGGCAGGAGGAACACTTGAGCCCGGGAGTTGCAAGCTGCAGCAAGCCATGATCATGCCACTGTACTTTAAGCTGGGTGAAAGAGCAAGATTCTGTCTCATAAAATAAAACAAAACAAAACAAAAAAAACTGAACAATAAGAAAACAATTCAATTAAAAAATATGCAGGCTGGTGTGGTGGCTCACACCTGTAATCCCAGCACTTTGGGAGGCTGAGGCGGGAGGATTGCTTGAAGCCAGGAGTTTGAGACTGGCCTGCACAACACAGCGAGACCCCAGGTCTACAAAAAAATAAAAAATTAGCTGGGCATGGTGGCATATGCTTGTGGTCCCAGATACTCAGGAGGCTGAGTAGGGAGGATCGCTTGAGCCCAGGAATTGGAGGCTACAGTGAGCTATGATTACACCACTGCTCTCCAGCCTAGGCAACAGAGCAAGACTCTGTCTCAAAGAATAAAAATAATGATCAAAAGATCTGAAGAGACGTCTCACCAAAGAAAATGTACAGATGGCAAATGAACATATGAAAAGATGCTTGATATCATTCATTATTAGAGAATTGCAAATTAAAACAATGAGATTTCACTACATGTAAAAATGGCTAAAATCTAAAACAATGACAAACACCAAATGCTGACATGCACGGGGCAAGCGATAGTCACCTGAAGACAGTCTGACAGCTTTTTACACAGCTAAACATAACCTTGCCATATGAGCCAGCAATTATGCTCCTAGGTAGTTACTCAAATGAGTTGAAACATTTGCCCATATAAGCATCTGAACATGAATGTTTATAGTAGCTTTATTCATAATTGCCAAAAACTGGAGGTAACCAAGATACACTTCAAAAGGTGAATCAACACATTGTGCTCTGTCCTCATAATGGAATATTATTCAGCAATAAAATTAATGATCTCTCAAGCTATGAAAAGACACGGAGGAACCATAAATGCATGTTACTAAGGGAAAGAAGCCAGTCTAAAAACTGCATACTGTATAGTTTCAATTACACGAAATACTGGAAAACGCAAAATTATAGAAATAGTAAAAAGATCCGCGGTTGCCCCGGTTCAAGGAAAATGCATGGATAATAGGTAGAGTGCAAGAGATGGTCTGAGCATTGAAACTATTCTGTATGATACTATAATGGTGGATACATGGCATTTTGCACTTAGCAAAAGACTTTGTAACAAAAGAATAAACTCTAATGTAAACCACGGAGTTTAGTTAATACTTGTTTAGTTAATACTAGCGTATCAACGCAGGTTCATCAGTTCTAACAAAAGTACCATACTAATTCAAGATGTTAATAATGGAAAACTGGGAGTTGGGGAAAAAAAGGGTAAATAGGAACTTTCTGTACTGTCAGCTCAATTTTCTGTAAACCCAAAAGTGATCCAGAAAATAAAGTCTATTAATAAGACAAATGGTAGCCAAATTTGGGGAAAGCAGCTTTCCAAAAGCTTAGAGGAAGGAGGGCTAGGATCCCATGGCCCCATACTCACAACCACTCATAAATCGTTCCAGAACTATGGGAAGAGGGAGTCACCACAGAATTCGGAGAGAAACACGGCAGTGGTTCTGACTGCAAAGGGGGAGGATTGCAGGGAGCCATGTGGCAGCTCAAACAGCTCTGAAGAATCTGGCAAGGTGGACACAGAGTGCCGCTGGGCTCACCAGACCTCAGACACAGCAGAGGGCCCGGTGGACCACTTGGATCCCACCTTCAGAGAAGAGGCTTCACCTAGCAGCCGGTACTTGGCAAATCCATCTGTTTCAGGACTTAACTTGTGTTCCCAAAGCCTAGAAAGCACCAGGCCCTGTGCCTGGGGGCCAAGGATCCAGTGTGAACACAGACGAGACACCAGCTGCTGAAATAGCAGGAGCCTGCGGGCTCGGAACCGGGGGGGTGAAGGGTGCACAACGCGACAGGATCCCTACCTGAGCGGGGGACCGAGTGGGGACAGAGAGGGTCCTGGGAGGACGAGAGGCCTGAAGAACGAGGAGTTAGCTCAATGTGGAGAAAGCGCCAGGGACAGGGAAATGCAATCAGTGCCGGGGAGGCAGGAAATGCAGAAAGAAGCTGAAGTCACAGCAAGGCTGGACTACGAAGGTCTGTGAACCACACGAAGGAAGCCAGGCATTCCCTCAAGGGCAACAGGAGACCATGGAAGACTGGCCACACCCGCAGTTCAAATCAGACTTTGACTTTTGAGCACTCTTTCAGAATACAGAAGTTAGAACACGGACGGGCTGGATGTAAAAAATTGAGTGTGGGGAGATGGGTTAGGTCATTTCTCAGGCTTGGCAACAGGGGGTAGTGGCTTGGAGAGGGTGGCAAGAGAAACTAGTATGTCTAAGCGGCGTTGCAAGCCTAACCCGCACACAAGAGGCCCCTGCTGCTCCCTCCCCCAGCCCGCCCGCTCCTCACCCTTGTGGGTAACGGTAACGCACGTCATTCTTCCCATTGCTCAGGACACACACGGCCCTGGTATCACCCTTAACGCCTTTGTCACACCCCAATCTAGACTGTCAGCAAATTCTGCCAGCTTTACCCTCCAAATGAGTTCAGGAGGCCACTTCTTATCACCGGGTCCAAGACACCATCATTTGCACCTGGATTGCAGCACTAGCTCCCACCTGGTCTCCCAGCCCACCTCAGGCTAAATCCACTTTGATGTACCCTTAGAGCTTGTGGGATCCCTGACACCTTAAGCCTCTGTAGAATAAAGCAGAATGGCCATCACCTCATCCCAAAACCATTCAGGATGCGCGCTGGTCAGTGCTGCCCAGATTTACACTGGGGAGTTGGAGAATTCTGTTTGAGCACAGCAAAAGCCCTGTCCCTTGGCTCAAGTGGAACGTGTACTCAAATGCTACTCTGGGCGCCATTCTACTGCCTTCTTGCCACCCTGAGGATGTTCAGCTGGTTTTACAGCCACGTGGAACTCTATACTGAATCCCAGCACGTTCTTCTCCAATTTAAACCACTTTCACCAGGGATTCTGTTTCTGCTTTCAAATGGGGCCCTGTCCCGCCCCAAGGGCTGTCACTGACATGTTTTATTTGCAGGCTCGGCATCTCCTCCAGACTGTGGAGCGGGATGGGCCCCCTCCAGCAGGGCGCTGAGCCACTGTGTGAGTTGACCAGTCACAAAAATACAGCTACCTGTGCTCCCCCACCAGCTCACTCCCCCACCTCCCCCACACACAGGCAGGAAAGGCAAACATTAACTCAGGGCCCACTGAGTTCCAGGCACTGGGCACCAAGACAAAGCTGCTGTCAAGGAGCTCCAGCCACAGAAAGACGGCAAGAAATTCAGTAGGCAAGGCTCCAGGACAGGTGGCGGGTGGGAACAGCCAGGGTGGGCACAGCTTGGGAAGCCCCAGCAGCAGGCGGCACTCAAGCCTGGTCTTCACACTTAGATATCACGTGAGATCTTGTCATAAACACAGATCCCAGGCTGCACCCCAGATACTTATTCAGGCGGTCTGCGGTGGAGTCCTGGAACCCGCAAGTGTAACAGGGCCTGGGTGAGTCTGACTCAGGTGGACTCTGTTAGAAGCTGCAGGGAGAAGAGAGGGGCTGAGAGTCATCACCACTGCACATTTCCTCACAGTTCTGGGGAGCTGGGGGCAGCGGGGGGAAGTGCGGGAGTGTAGACAGGGAAGAAAGAACAAGGCCAAAGGGCAGCCCTGCTCGACAGAGGTCCGGATGTGGAGCCACGGTCTCTGGCATTATGTGCTAGTGAGGATATTGTGTGCCTCCCAGTGAAGACTCAGTGAGTGGCACCTGATCCTCCCATCACTTTTCTGGAGCAGATTATTGCTTCTTTCAGCCCACTCAGTTCTCCATTTGCACCTGTTTTCCAGCTGCAATGCAACACGAGGCTCCCTGACTTCCAAATCCAGTCTTCCACTCCAAAACGGCCTTACTCAGCGCCCCCGCCAGCTGCTGCTCTTTGAGCTACAAGGACTCCTGCCCGTGTCGGTCCTGGGGGATCAGTGCTAAGGGCTAGTATTTACTTATCTATTGTTAAATCTGCTGTATGGAGTTTCAGAACAAGAATCAGAAAATCTCAGGAGCTGCCAGGGCCAGACGATGGGCTTGAGGTCAGAGAACTGTTGGGTGTCAAACCCCAGGGAACAGACTCTCCCTTCCCCTTTTCTTCCCTCCCCTCCATTGGAGATTTTTCTGCCCCAAGAAAAAGAGCTGAGAAAGATGCCCACTGCCCCTGCTAGTCAGCAGCGGCAGTAGAGCTCTGCGTCCAGTAAGTGGAAGGTAAGATAAAGGCAAGGGAGACTCGGCCCTGGAGTGTGTACCCAGAATGCAGGATGAGGTCTGTGCTGTTGGAGCAGTGTGGGCCGATTACAAAGAGAGCAGGAGCAGGGACAGCAGGAGGGTGGGATGGATATCACCAAGTAGAAGCCTTGAGGAGATGTGAGGGCTGAAGGCCAAGGACAAGAAACTGGCCGCGGGTGCTGGGAAGAGGTCACAAGACAGAAGAACGTGGTTTTGTACTTCCCTTAGCTCTTACTTGACGTAATGTGTGATGACTGGGCTTTTCTCTCCGTTTGATGCACTGGTATTTTGATAAACAGATATTATGTTCAAGTACCAATCTTTGTGATTTCTTCGTTAATTTAGAAATGACCTTTTAGATCATTCACTTAGAATGATCTTCACCTATCAACTGAAGGTGAACATAGGCCTCAGCTTATTTGCTTACTACAAATTCTTTATTTTTTATAAGAGGTCTGTTTCTGGCTGGGTGCATTGGCTCACACTTGAAATCTCACTTTGGGAGGCCAAGGCAGAAAGATTGCTGGAGGCCAGGGGTTCAAGACTAGCCTGGGCAACGTAAGGAGACGGCCCCCACCCCATCCCTATCTCTACAACACATTAAAAAAAAAATTATCTGGGCTTGGTAGCACACTAGAAATCCCCCGGAGTCCCAGCTACTTGGGAGGCTGAGGCAGGAGAACCACTTACAGCCAGGAGTTTGAGACCCGTGTGGGCAATATAGTGAGACTTTGTCTCTGAAAAATAAAAATGAAGAGGGCTGCTTCTTCTCTAAATAGTAAGCACATTATTTTATTATTCATCATGCTGAAAAATACTGGAAAAGAGAAAAGCACCCCTGACAATTCAAACCTGGCCTGGAGCTCTCAGCCAGGCTTTCCACTAGGAACATAAAACGCTCCACAGGAGCGCACCAAACACCAGACAATGCCACTCTGTAATTGTGATGAAATGAGGAAAAAACAAGATAATCTGTAATCTTTTCTGAGCACCGACAGAAACAAGGTCACTGTGCTAGCCACAAGAATATTAATACCGCAAATCCCTCCCCTGGCTAATGTGAATGGCTCTGGTCTGCCCCTGCTGGACGGGACTTATCGCCACAGCCATTGTAGAATCAGCCCTGCTTCTCAGGAGCGGGCAACCTAAGCAAAGCTCTGCGTCCTTCAATGCTCCCCAAGATCACTAACAAGAGTGCTAACCCCATGCTCAGTGTCCTCTAACGCTCTCTTACGGAGATGACCCACAGTTCCCATGGGGCGAGTTCTTCCTCACCGCAACAAGGAACAGACCCAACTTGTATCACTCAGTATTATATAATGAATGATAATGGCATCACTCAGTATTATATAATGAATGATAACGGCATCACTCAGTATTATATAATGAATGATAATGCTATCACTCAGTATTATATAATGAATGATAACGGCATCACTCAGTATTATATAATGAATGATAACGGCGTCACTCAGTATTATATAATGAATGATAACGGCGTCACTCAGTATTATATAATGAATGATAACGGCGTCACTCAGTATTATATAATGAATGATAACGGCGTCACTCAGTATTATATAATGAATGATAACGGCGTCACTCAGTATTATATAATGAATGATAACGGCGTCACTCAGTATTATATAATGAATGATAACGGCGTCACTCAGTATTATATAATGAATGATAACGGCGTCACTCAGTATTATATAATGAATGATAACGGCGTCACTCAGTATTATATAATGAATGATAACGGCGTCACTCAGTATTATATAATGAATGATAACGGCGTCACTCAGTATTATATAATGAATGATAATGCTATCACTCAGTATTATATAATGATAACGGCGTCACTCAGTATTATATAATGAATGATAACGGCGTCACTCAGTATTATATAATGAATGATAACGGCGTCACTCAGTATTATATAATGAATGATAACGGCGTCACTCAGTATTATATAATGAATGATAACGGCGTCACTCAGTATTATATAATGAATGATAACGGCGTCACTCAGTATTATATAATGAATGATAACGGCGTCACTCAGTATTATATAATGAATGATAACGGCGTCACTCAGTATTATATAATGAATGATAACGGCGTCACTCAGTATTATATAATGAATGATAACGGCGTCACTCAGTATTATATAATGAATGATAACGGCGTCACTCAGTATTATATAATGAATGATAACGGCGTCACTCAGTATTATATAATGAATGATAACGGCGTCACTCAGTATTATATAATGAATGATAACGGCGTCACTCAGTATTATATAATGAATGATAACGGCGTCACTCAGTATTATATAATGAATGATAACGGCGTCACTCAGTATTATATAATGAATGATAACGGCGTCACTCAGTATTATATAATGAATGATAACGGCGTCACTCAGTATTATATAATGAATGATAACGGCGTCACTCAGTATTATATAATGAATGATAACGGCGTCACTCAGTATTATATAATGAATGATAACGGCGTCACTCAGTATTATATAATGAATGATAACGGCGTCACTCAGTATTATATAATGAATGATAACGGCGTCACTCAGTATTATATAATGAATGATAACGGCGTCACTCAGTATTATATAATGAATGATAACGGCGTCACTCAGTATTATATAATGAATGATAACGGCGTCACTCAGTATTATATAATGAATGATAACGGCGTCACTCAGTATTATATAATGAATGATAACGGCGTCACTCAGTATTATATAATGAATGATAACGGCGTCACTCAGTATTATATAATGAATGATAACGGCGTCACTCAGTATTATATAATGAATGATAACGGCGTCACTATTATATAATGAATGATAACGGCGTCACTCAGTATTATATAATGAATGATAACGGCATCACTCAGTATTATATAATGAATGATAACGGCATCACTCAGTATTATATAATGAATGATAACGGCATCACTCAGTATTATATAATGAATGATAACGGCATCACTCAGTATTATATAATGAATGATAACGGCATCACTCAGTATTATATAATGAATGATAATGCTATCACTCAGTATTATATAATGAATGATAACGGCGTCACTCAGTATTATATAATGAATGATAACGGCGTCACTCAGTATTATATAATGAATGATAACGGCGTCACTCAGTATTATATAATGAATGATAACGGCGTCACTCAGTATTATATAATGAATGATAACGGCGTCACTCAGTATTATATAATGAATGATAACGGCGTCACTCAGTATTATATAATGAATGATAACGGCGTCACTCAGTATTATATAATGAATGATAACGGCGTCACTCAGTATTATATAATGAATGATAACGGCGTCACTCAGTATTATATAATGAATGATAACGGCGTCACTCAGTATTATATAATGAATGATAACGGCGTCACTCAGTATTATATAATGAATGATAACGGCGTCACTCAGTATTATATAATGAATGATAACGGCGTCACTCAGTATTATATAATGAATGATAACGGCGTCACTCAGTATTATATAATGAATGATAACGGCGTCACTCAGTATTATATAATGAATGATAACGGCGTCACTATTATATAATGAATGATAACGGCGTCACTCAGTATTATATAATGAATGATAACGGCGTCACTCAGTATTATATAATGAATGATAACGGCATCACTCAGTATTATATAATGAATGATAACGGCATCACTCAGTATTATATAATGAATGATAACGGCATCACTCAGTATTATATAATGAATGATAATGGCATCACTCAGTATTATATAATGAATGATAATGCTATCACTCAGTATTATATAATGAATGATAACGGCGTCACTCAGTATTATATAATGAATGATAACGGCGTCACTCAGTATTATATAATGAATGATAACGGCGTCACTCAGTATTATATAATGAATGATAACGGCGTCACTCAGTATTATATAATGAATGATAACGGCGTCACTCAGTATTATATAATGAATGATAACGGCGTCACTCAGTATTATATAATGAATGATAACGGCGTCACTCAGTATTATATAATGAATGATAACGGCGTCACTCAGTATTATATAATGAATGATAACGGCGTCACTCAGTATTATATAATGAATGATAACGGCGTCACTCAGTATTATATAATGAATGATAACGGCGTCACTCAGTATTATATAATGAATGATAATGGCGTCACTCAGTATTATATAATGAATGATAATGGCGTCACTCAGTATTATATAATGAATGATAATGGTATCGTTCAGTATTAGAGAACTGCAAGTTAAAACAATGAGATTTCACTACATGTTAAAATTTGCAGTTACAGGTGTGTTGCAGGCAGCCTCTGGCAAGAATCCAACAATGCTTTATTATTATTATTTTCGAGACGGGGTCTCTGTCACCCGGGTTGGAGTGCAGTGGTATGATCACAGCTCACTGCAGCCTTTGCCTTCTGGGCTCACATGATCCTCCCACCTCAGCACCCCCGAGTATTGGGACTACAGGCATGTGCCACCACACCTGGCCAATTTTTGTAGTTTTTGTAAAGACGAGGTTTTGCCATGTTGCCCAGGTTGGTCTTGAACTCCTGGGCTCAAACGACCCACCCACTTCAACCTCCCAAAGTGTTGAAATTACAAGCATGAGCCACCGTGCCCAAGCTATGCTTTCTTATTCTAGGATCCTGCGTGTTCTTGTTTCTAGTTTTCCAACATATTTTTTGGTTATATATTCCAGCGTTGGCATCATAGCTCACCTGACATCTATTTCCTCCTCCACATCAGGCACAGGGCTGGAGCTTGGGATATGAGTGTAAAAGGGAAGACAAGAACCCTCCCTCATAACAAACTTCTCCAGGGTTGTTGCATGGAGAAGGAGATAGACGAGGGCATGGGAGGCCTACTTGTAAAAACTGCCAAAAAATATGAAAAACCCTCTCGTGTGCCCCTCCCCACACATCTGTGCCAACGAAACCTGTTAAAGCTCTGGCATGAGGGAGGTAGGTCCACCCAATGCTCCCATCATCTCAGGGCCCTGCTCACCCCACCCCTGGCCCTCCTGAGGTCTGTCCCTTGGTGCTGAGACCTTGCCCCAACTAGGGAAAGTGCCTGTGGTCAGACTTCCAGTTTCTGGCCCACCACAGAAGGAGCCTGGAAGTCGTCACTTGGTCCTAACAACACGTAAAAAGCTGAACAGACTGAAAAAACCAACAACTCTTCTTAGATCCAGAGAAATGAGGTCACAGGGCAAAGCACTGCCTCCCAAGTATGAGAGGCAGACAGGCAGACACAAAGAATCACGACTTACCAGAGCAGAAACTCATGGGCGCCAAAGCCACGGCAGGAAGACGGAACAGTAGCTGAAGAATTGCTGGAGGTTCCCTGTAGACGAGTCTGAGAGTTGAAATCTCCAGGGGGCCTCAGTCATAGGGGGCCCTACACCGTAATGCATTTCACCTCCAGCTCTGCCAGGTTCTCCGTGAAGATCCCAGAATAATCCCCTCCTAATTACAGTAGGGGGAGGGGAAATGTAGCCATTTTGAAACACACCAGAACATTCTGCTTTTCACCCGGCCTGTCCTCAAGAAAAACTACTTTACCAGAGGCTAAATGACCTGGGGGAAGAGAAATACCCAACTCCAGCCCCGTCTAGCCCTCCTGTCCCACCTAAGAGTGGGAAGAAACTGAAAACCAGTGGTAAAGTTCATAGCCCAAGGGCACAGGCTCACTAAAAGTCTGACACCTGGGTGGTCCCAGTGGCTCACAACTGTAATCCCAGCAATTTGGGAGGCCGAGGCAGGTGGATCACCTGAGATCAGGAGTTCAAGACCAGCCTGGCCAAAATGGCAAAACCCTGTCTCCACTAAAAATACAAAAATTAGCCAGGCATGGTTGCACATGCCTGTAGTCCCAGATACTCGGGAGGCTGAGGCAGGAGAATCACTTGAGCCTGGGAGGTGGAGGTTGCAGTGAGCTGAGATTGCACCACTGCATTCCAGAACAAGACTCCATCTCAGAAAAAAAAAAAAAAATAGACTGAGACCCAACCATAAAGCTACAGAACACTCCTCGACTGAGACCCAACCATAAAGCTATAGAACACTCCTCGTCCCCCACTTTAATGCCACATCACTAAAAGCCTATTTACCAGAGTTCCTTTTATCTAGTAGTACATCATTTTGTTGTTCAGCAACAACAAAAATTACAAGGCACATTAAAAAGCAAAAAGCACAGTTTAGAGAGACAGAGCAAGCATTAGAACCAAATTCAGATATGTCAGGGATGGTACAATTAACAGACCATGAATTTAAAACAACTATGAATGATATGCCAAGGCTCTTATGGAAAATGTGGACAGCATGCAAGAACAGATGGTGATGTACACAGACATGAAAATTCTACGAAAAAAATCAGAAAGAAATGCTAGAGTTCAAACACTAACTGAAATGGAGAATGCCTTTGGTCTCATTAATAAACTGGACACAGCTGAGAAAAGAGTCACTGCGCTTGAGGACATGTCAATAGAAACTCCTAAAACCGGCCGGGTGCAGTGGCTCATGCCTGTATTCCCAGCACTTTGGGAGGCTGAGGCAGGTGGATCATGAGGTCAGGAGTTCGAGACAAACCTGATCAACATGGTGAAACCCCATCTCTACTAAAACTACAAAAATTATTTCTTGTAAATTTGTTTAAGTTCTTTGTAGATTCTGGATATTAGCCCTTTGTCAGATGGGTAGATGGTAAAAATTTTCTCCCGTTCTCTAGGTTGCCTGTTCACTCTGATGGTAGTTTCTTTTGCTGTGCAGAAGCTCTTTAGTTTAATTAGATCCCATTTGTCAATTTTGGCTTTTGCTGCCATTGCTTTTGGTGTTTTAGACATGAAGTCCTTGCCCATGCCTATGTCCTGAATGGTAATGCCCAGGTTTTCTTCTAGAGTTTTTATGGTTTTAGGTCTAACATTTAAGTCTTTAATCCATCTTGAATTAATTTTTGTATAAGATGTAAGGAAAGGATCCAGTTTCAGCTTTCTACATATGGCTAGCCAGTTTTCCTAGCACCATTTATTAAATAGGGAATCTTTTCCCCATTTCTTGTTTTTGTCAGGTTTGTCAAAGATCAGATGGTTGTAGATATGTGGCATTATTTCTGAGGGCTCTGTTCTGTTCCATTGGTCTATATCTCTGTTTTGGTACCAGTACCATGCTGTTTTGGTCACTGTAGCCTTGTAGTATAGTTTGAAGTCAGGTAGTGTGATGCCTCCAGCTTTGTTATTTTGGCTTAGGATTGACTTGGTGACGCGGGCTCCTTTTTGGTTCCATATGAACTTTAAAGTAGTTTTTTCCAATTCTGTGAAGAAAGGCATTGGTAGCTTGATGGGGATGGCATTGAATCTATAAATTACCTTGGGCAGTATGGCCATTTTCACAATATTAATTCTTCCTATTCATGAGCATGGAATGTTCTTCCATTTGTTTGTGTCCTCTTTTATTTCATTGAGCAGTGGTTTGTAGTTCTCCTCGAAGAGGTCCTTCACATCCCTTGTAAGTTGGATTCCTAGGTATTTTATTCTCTTTGAAGCAATTGTGAATGGGAGTTCAGTCATGATTTGGCTCTCTGTTTGTCTGTTATTGGTGTATAGGAATGCTTAAACAACAGGTGCTGGAGAGGATGTAGAGAAACAGAACACTTTTATACTGTTGGTGGGACTATAAGCTAGTTCAACCATTGTTGAAGACAGTGTGGCTATTCCTCAAGGATCTAGAACTAGAAATACTATTTGACCCAGCCAGCCCATTACTGGGCATATACCCAAAGGACTATAAATCATGCTGCTATAAATACACAGGCACACATATGTTTATTGTGGCACTATTCACAATAGCAAAGACTTGGAACCAACCCAAATGTCCATCAATGATAGACTGGATTAAGAAAATGTGGCACATATACACCATGGAATACTATGCAGCCATAAAAAAGGATGAGTTCATGTCCTTTGTAGGGACATGGATGAAGCTAGAAACCATCATTCTGAGCAAACTGTCGCAAGGACAGAAAACCAAACACCGCATGTTCTCACTCATAGGTGGGAATTGAACAATGAGAACACTTGGACACAGGAAGGGGAACATCACACACTGGGGCCTGTCGTGGGGTGGGGGGAGGGGGGAGGGATAGAATTAGGAGATATACCTAATGTAAATGACGAGTTAATGGGTGCAGCACACCAACATGGCACATGTATACATATGTAACAAACCTGCATGTTGTGCACATGTACCCTAGAACTTAAAGTATAATAAATAAAATGTAAAAAAATATATACAAAAATTAGCCAGGTGTGGTGGCGTGCACCTGTAATCCCAGCTACTCAGGAGGCTGAGGCAGGAGAATCTCTTGAACCCAGGAGGCAGAGGTTGCAGTGAGCAGAGATCATGCCACTGCACTCCAGCCTGGGCGACAGAGCCAGACTCTATCTCAAAAAAAAAAGAAAGAAAAGAAAAGAAAAGAAATACCTGAGGCTGGGTAATTGATAAGAAAAGAGGCTTAATTGGCTCATGGCTCTGCAGGCTGTGCAGGAAGCATACCGCCAGCTTCTGCTTCTGGCGAGGCTTCAGGAAGCTTCCAATCACGGCAGAAGGCAAAGAGGGAGCAGGCACATCACATGGCGAAGGTGGGAGCAAGAAGGCGGGGGGTGCCACACACTTTTTAAAACCTTATCAGGGGAGAACTCATAATAGGGAGGACAGCACCAAGGCCGTGGTGCTAAACCATTCATGAGAAATCCATCCTCATGATCCAATAACCTCCCACCAGGCCCCACCTCCAATATTGGGAATTACATTTCAACGTAAATTTTGACGAGGACATAAATACAAACTATATTACTACCCTTAAACAATTGGAAATTGCTTTGTTTTTGAGAAATAAAAGAATGCTGAATTCTGTTCTGTTGCTTTGGTTGTACACTTTAGTGAAAATTGAAAGGTTATGTTAATTTCTGAAGAATTATAATGATAAAAAACGGTGCAGACACAACCTGCACTTTGCAAGCATTGCAGACTTAAGTTTTTTGGGGGAAACTATACATAATTAAATAGTTTCCCAGTGAGCTCAGCCAGCCCATTCAGGGCAGTGCCCAGACATATGCTTGTGGCAAACTCTAGCCAAGCAACTTACCTACAGGAGAAAAAAAGACTCACTGTTTCAAGAGGAGCTGTGGTGCTTCTCTCCTTTCTCCTCTTTTTCTTGTATAAACCCTACATTCACCTGTATTCAACAAAATCAGCCAACTAATTGGTTTCTGTGTGTGTATTCAAGAAAATCAGCCAACTAATTGGTTTCTATGTGTGTATTCGAGAAAATCAGCCGACTAATTGGTTTCTATGTGTGTGTATTCGAGAAAATCAGCCAACTAATTGGTTTCTGTGTGTTTGTGTTCAAGTGAACGTCCACATTCACTCAGCTGTGCTGTGTCTCTGAGCTACTCTCTGACTCTGCAACCCTCCCCTTTTAAATGGTTGCACTGGACTCTGTATTCTTGTGCGCTCATACCCATTACCAAGCTCAAAGGGACCCACGGAAGAAGCTCAGAACTCTTATGAGAAATAAAATACCGCCGTGTGTCGTGACTAATTATGATGGCAGAAAAGCATCAAGCCGGTTTCCGTAGTGTAGTGGTTATCACGTTCGCCTCACACGCGAAAGGTCCCCGGTTCGAAACCGGGCGGAAACAGTTCCTTCTACTTTTCACTTAACTGCTTCAAATTTATTACACCGAAGACTAGCCTAGAACATCCCACCAATATCTCCACCCACTTAAGGAGAAAAGGCTATCAAGGGTATTTATACCGTTGCCTTTCCGCCGCAATCATTGGCATCTGGGAAGAACGGAACCCACCTCACTTGCTGTTGACACCAGCATGACGAACTCCCCACAAAGCCCGTCCAGTGGATGGATGCACAATGCCAAATGGAATTCCCGATGCCGGGAAAGCGTGGGGCCCAAGGCGACTTCCTCCTTTTGTAACCCATGAAGGGACAAAAATGGAGGAATCACAACAAGCTGGCAGCGGTGGGATTCGAACCCACGCCTCCGAAGAGACTGGAGCCTTAATCCAGCGCCTTAGACCGCTCGGCCACGCTACCCTCCTTCTGGGCTTCACCTACATCTTTTCCTTCCTTATAAAACATCCCCAGGGTCCCCGGGCCAACAAGGCGTCGAGGCGAATCCACAGGGCATCGCAGAACCACCGCCTTCCAGCAGGATTCGCTGGGCCAGAGGCCCCGGCTGGGAAACGGCTCCACCAGCGCCCCGGCAGAGAAGGTTCGCGAAGCGCAGGTCTCGGGATTTGCTTTGGGGGCCACTCAGAAAGTCACCCACATTGGCCCTCTTTGGGGAGGCGGCGTGAGAGGAGGGGAAGCCTTCTGCACTCTTTAAAGAAAGATAAAAATAAATAAACCAGGGCAGACCCGGTCCGCTCGGGGCCGCCTAGTCCTGCAGCCGCCGCGCCGCACTCCACAGGCAGCAGCGCACAGGGCGCGACTCCGGGGAGGCCGCGGCCCGCGGGGTCCGTCCGTCCTGCGGTCCCCAGCCCCGTCCCCTGGAGCTTGGCGCCCGCTCTGCCCGGATCCGCCCCGGCCCGGGGCTCCTGCCCGCCGTCCAGTCCGCGCAGGGACCCCGAGCAGCCTCGCCGTGCACGGCCCCGCCGGGCTCAGTTCTGGGCTCGCACTTCCACCGCCCCCGCCTGGCTCCCAGTTTCTTTCTGTCTCCCGCGGAACCGACCTCCTTCCCCCGAATCTCCGCCAGCTCTTCTCCCCCTCCCCCTACGCCCCGTGCTTTGCTCT
Organism: Homo sapiens; assembly: GCF_000001405.40. Classification (NCBI taxonomy): domain Eukaryota; kingdom Metazoa; phylum Chordata; class Mammalia; order Primates; family Hominidae; genus Homo; species Homo sapiens. Next base: position 181,098,255 of record NC_000005.10, read on the forward strand.
CCCGCTTCTCGCCTCGCCCGCGGCTGGGGGAAGGGACTGGAGGGGAGGGGAGGGGAGGGGACGGGTGGGGAGGGGTGGGGCGGGGAGGGAAAGGGTGGGGAGCAGAGGGGTGGGGAGGGGAGGGGTGGGGAGAGGTAGGGAGGGGAGGGGTGAGGAGGGGAAGGGTGGGGAGCAGAGGGGTGGGGAGGGGAGGGGTGGGGAGAGGTAGGGAGGGGAGGGGTGAGGAGGGGTGCGGAGGGGTGGGGAGGGGAGGTGAGGGCAAGGGAGGGGAGGGGTGGGGAGGGGAGGGGAGGGCAGGCGAGGGGAGGGGTGGGGAGGGGAGGGGAGGGCAGGCGAGGGGAGGGGTGGGGAGGGGAGGGGAGGGCAGGGGAGGGGTGGGGAGGGGAGGGGAGGGCAGGCGAGGGGAGGGGTGGGGAGGGGAGGGCAGGGGAGGGGTAGGGAGGGGAGGGGTGGGGAGGGGAGGGGAGGGCAGGCGAGGGGAGGGGAGGGCAGGCGAGGGGAGGGCAGGCGAGGGGAGGGGACTCTCAGTTCCTGTTGTCAGACAATCTGAAGTTGTTTTTTTTTTCTTTGAGACGGAGTCTTGCTTTGTTTCCAGGCTGGAGTGCAGTGGTGCCATCTGGGCTCACTGCAATCTCCGCCTCCCACGTTCAAGCGATTCTTCTGCCTCAGCCTCCAGAGTACCCGCGATTACAGGCACGTGCCACCACACCCAGGCAATTTCTGTATTTTTTGTAGAGACAGGGTTTCACCACGTTGGTCAGGTTGGTCCCGATCTCCTGACCTCGTGATCCGCCCACCTCAGCCTCCCAAAGTGCTGGGATTACAGGCGGGAGACACTGTGCCCAGCCGATGAAGTACTTTTAAGTGTAGCGGGCTCACCAGTTCTCAGCCTGACACGCAGCTATGTGTCCTTGTCTTGACACTGTGTGAGGAGCTTTGGCTGGGCAAAACATTGCCAAGGTGAAAAATCCAGCGTGTCTCCATCCATGAGGTCATTCCAAATGAAGATTTGGATTCCATGTCACAGTCCAAGGGCTCAGTGAGCATGCCGTCCAAGTCACTTGGAAGCCTCTCCTGGTGGAGAAGGTCCATTCTGCCATAACCACTGCAGCTGCTCACCGAGGAGTAGCCCCCCAGGGCACTCATCTGCATGGGGTGGGGCAGAGGCACTTGCAAAGGTGTCTTCACTGGGGTCAGTTGGTTCACACCTGAGGTGTGGGGCTTGGTGTTTTCCGTGTGAGACAGGGCACGGCCGTAAGCTGCATATGTCTGCTGAGCATGCCCAGGGTGGATATGGGAGCTGGGATGCCTCATTTTGTATCCAGATGCCTGGCTGCCATAGGTTGACATGGCTGAATTAAGGCCCATCATGGTATTCTGGCCCAGAAACCGACTGTTGGATTGGGCTACTCCAGGATCAGCTGGTGTCATAATGTCATTATGGGGAGGAGAGTCAGAAGTCAGCATCTCCTCCAGGAGTCCCGCTACACAGTTACACGGACTCACAGCTCCGTAACTTGATTTGTGCTCCTGGAGTGTTTGCATCTGGGGCAAAGGGCTCATGTTGGACTGGCCCTACGTCTGTTTTTTGCAGTTTGGCTGGGCGAATTCAGACTGGTGTTTGGTGGCACAAAGGAGTAGCTGGCGTCTGCTGCATCATGGTGCCAGGTGAGGACTGGGTGGACACAGTTAATGATGTTGGTGAGGAGATAAGACTGAGATCACTCAGAAAGCTTTCCACGTTTCAGGATTGCTTGTCTCAGACTGGGTGGAGTAGGGGCATCTTTGCCGCAGATGGCGGGTACCCCACAGAATGTGCGTCCCCATCTCCAAGATAGTCTCCTTTGACTATAATGGGTGAAAGTCTCCCAGTAACAGTACTAGCATTTGAGCTAGTTCCAGGGCGAAATGCACTCCAGCTATTAAAGTCATCATTGCTGTGAGAGCCAGGGCTTGCAGGCCATCTGGAAAACTGGGGTCCAGGGCTGTCCCCGGCACCCCCCTGGCTAGACTGCAGGATGCTTTTTTCGTGGCAGCTTGACTTAGGCTCCGAGCGCATTTGCTGCTGCTGTCCATGGATGCAGCTCTTGTCCTAAGAGATCTCCCACCCTTGCCGCCCTCTGGATCCAGCGTCCACCGAGCACTTTTTCCAGTTCCTTCATTCTGCGCGCGAGTCAGCTTGCTGTGTAGGGACAGAAGATGACGAAGTGAATTCCTGCAGCCCGCCGAGCTGTTGCTGTCGCCCTGGGAGCAGGGCACGCTCTTGACCATCCACTCGCAGATCTGCGACAGCGCGAGCCGCTTCTCCGCCGAGCTCTCGTCGGCCCTGGTGCTGAGGTCGGCGTGGGACAGGCTGCGCGACGCGGTGCGACGGGACGAGCTGCCCCTGCGCTGCTGCCCGGCGGAGGCGGGGTCCCGGGTGGGTGCTGCGGCGCGGCGTCCCGGCGTCCGCAAAAGTCCTCGCTGTCCTGCAGCAGGCTCGGGTTGCTCATGAAGTCGGCGCTGACGGGCGGGACTGGAGGTGGCCGCGTGGGACCCGCGACTGGAAATCCGGGTGCACCTCCGCCCCCCGGGGCGCTTCGGCCTTGGGGTCCCGTCCCCTCCCCTCCCCTCCCCACCCCTCCCCTGCCCTCCCCTCCCCTCCCCACCCCTCCCCTGCCCTCCCCTCCCCACCCCTCCCCACCCCTCCCCTGCCCACCCCTCCCCACCCCTCCCCACCCCTCCCCTGCCCTCCCCTCCCCTCGCCACCCCTCCCCTGCCCTCCCCTCCCCTCGCCACCCCTCCCCACCCCTCCCCTGCCCTCCCCTCCCCACCCCTCCCCTGCCCTCCCTTGCCCTCCCCTCCCCTCTTATCCTTCCCCCAGCCGCGGGCGAGGCGAGAAGCGGGAGAGCAAAGCACGGGGCGTAGGGGGAGGGGGAGAAGAGCTGGCGGAGATTCGGGGGAAGGAGGTCGGTTCCGCGGGAGACAGAAAGAAACTGGGAGCCAGGCGGGGGCGGTGGAAGCGCGAGCCCAGAACTGAGCCCGGCGGGGCCGTGCACGGCGAGGCTGCTCGGGGTCCCTGCGCGGACTGGACGGCGGGCAGGAGCCCCGGGCCGGGGCGGATCCGGGCAGAGCGGGCGCCAAGCTCCAGGGGACGGGGCTGGGGACCGCAGGACGGACGGACCCCGCGGGCCGCGGCCTCCCCGGAGTCGCGCCCTGTGCGCTGCTGCCTGTGGAGTGCGGCGCGGCGGCTGCAGGACTAGGCGGCCCCGAGCGGACCGGGTCTGCCCTGGTTTATTTATTTTTATCTTTCTTTAAAGAGTGCAGAAGGCTTCCCCTCCTCTCACGCCGCCTCCCCAAAGAGGGCCAATGTGGGTGACTTTCTGAGTGGCCCCCAAAGCAAATCCCGAGACCTGCGCTTCGCGAACCTTCTCTGCCGGGGCGCTGGTGGAGCCGTTTCCCAGCCGGGGCCTCTGGCCCAGCGAATCCTGCTGGAAGGCGGTGGTTCTGCGATGCCCTGTGGATTCGCCTCGACGCCTTGTTGGCCCGGGGACCCTGGGGATGTTTTATAAGGAAGGAAAAGATGTAGGTGAAGCCCAGAAGGAGGGTAGCGTGGCCGAGCGGTCTAAGGCGCTGGATTAAGGCTCCAGTCTCTTCGGAGGCGTGGGTTCGAATCCCACCGCTGCCAGCTTGTTGTGATTCCTCCATTTTTGTCCCTTCATGGGTTACAAAAGGAGGAAGTCGCCTTGGGCCCCACGCTTTCCCGGCATCGGGAATTCCATTTGGCATTGTGCATCCATCCACTGGACGGGCTTTGTGGGGAGTTCGTCATGCTGGTGTCAACAGCAAGTGAGGTGGGTTCCGTTCTTCCCAGATGCCAATGATTGCGGCGGAAAGGCAACGGTATAAATACCCTTGATAGCCTTTTCTCCTTAAGTGGGTGGAGATATTGGTGGGATGTTCTAGGCTAGTCTTCGGTGTAATAAATTTGAAGCAGTTAAGTGAAAAGTAGAAGGAACTGTTTCCGCCCGGTTTCGAACCGGGGACCTTTCGCGTGTGAGGCGAACGTGATAACCACTACACTACGGAAACCGGCTTGATGCTTTTCTGCCATCATAATTAGTCACGACACACGGCGGTATTTTATTTCTCATAAGAGTTCTGAGCTTCTTCCGTGGGTCCCTTTGAGCTTGGTAATGGGTATGAGCGCACAAGAATACAGAGTCCAGTGCAACCATTTAAAAGGGGAGGGTTGCAGAGTCAGAGAGTAGCTCAGAGACACAGCACAGCTGAGTGAATGTGGACGTTCACTTGAACACAAACACACAGAAACCAATTAGTTGGCTGATTTTCTCGAATACACACACATAGAAACCAATTAGTCGGCTGATTTTCTCGAATACACACATAGAAACCAATTAGTTGGCTGATTTTCTTGAATACACACACAGAAACCAATTAGTTGGCTGATTTTGTTGAATACAGGTGAATGTAGGGTTTATACAAGAAAAAGAGGAGAAAGGAGAGAAGCACCACAGCTCCTCTTGAAACAGTGAGTCTTTTTTTCTCCTGTAGGTAAGTTGCTTGGCTAGAGTTTGCCACAAGCATATGTCTGGGCACTGCCCTGAATGGGCTGGCTGAGCTCACTGGGAAACTATTTAATTATGTATAGTTTCCCCCAAAAAACTTAAGTCTGCAATGCTTGCAAAGTGCAGGTTGTGTCTGCACCGTTTTTTATCATTATAATTCTTCAGAAATTAACATAACCTTTCAATTTTCACTAAAGTGTACAACCAAAGCAACAGAACAGAATTCAGCATTCTTTTATTTCTCAAAAACAAAGCAATTTCCAATTGTTTAAGGGTAGTAATATAGTTTGTATTTATGTCCTCGTCAAAATTTACGTTGAAATGTAATTCCCAATATTGGAGGTGGGGCCTGGTGGGAGGTTATTGGATCATGAGGATGGATTTCTCATGAATGGTTTAGCACCACGGCCTTGGTGCTGTCCTCCCTATTATGAGTTCTCCCCTGATAAGGTTTTAAAAAGTGTGTGGCACCCCCCGCCTTCTTGCTCCCACCTTCGCCATGTGATGTGCCTGCTCCCTCTTTGCCTTCTGCCGTGATTGGAAGCTTCCTGAAGCCTCGCCAGAAGCAGAAGCTGGCGGTATGCTTCCTGCACAGCCTGCAGAGCCATGAGCCAATTAAGCCTCTTTTCTTATCAATTACCCAGCCTCAGGTATTTCTTTTCTTTTCTTTTCTTTCTTTTTTTGAGACGGAGTCTCGCACTGTCATCCAGGCCAGAGTGCAGTGGGGTGATCTCGGCTCACTGCAAGCTCCGCCTCCCGGGTTCACGCCATTCTCCTGCCTCAGCCTCCCGAGTAGCTGGGACTACAGGCGCCCGCCACCGCGCCCTAATTTTTTGTATTTTTAGTAGAGACGGGGTTTCACCATGTTGGTCAGGCTGGTCTCGATCTCCTGACCTCGTGATCCGCCCGCCTCGGCCTCCCAAAGTGCTGGGATTACAGGCGTGAGCCCCCGCGCCCGGCCGGGATTATCGTGTTCTTGCGGCTGAGTGGTGCTCTGCTGCGCATCCACCTCGGTGCCTCCGCCCACTCCTGCACCGACGGCCGCTGCCTTTGCTCGCAGATCTGGGCTATTGTGAACAGCGCTGCGGTAAACGTGGCGGCACAGACATCTCTCGGGCAAACCGAGGATGCGATACGGATACTTCCTCCGTCATTTCCACTCCCCTTTCTCCAGGCCCTGAAGCTCCGTCTCCACGCCCGAACTCGTGGCCTCCCATTCCCCAGGCAGCTTCTCCCGAATGTCCCCTCTCAGAAACCGGTGCCAGCGCGTCCCCGCTGTGCCACCCCCAAGCCCACTGCCAACCCCGCACAGTTCCGCGTCCGCCGTCTCCTCTCCCTGCGGTCGCTGCCACACCCTCTCGTCCGGTCTCCCATGCCCCCTTATGCTACCGCGTCGGGCATGAAAACTTCCTTTTCTTTCTTCTCCTTCTTTCCTTCCTTTTGAGACAGGGTCTTGCTCTGTCTCCGCCGCTGGAGTGCAGTCACAGCTCCCTGCAGCATCAACCTCCTGGACCTAAGCAGTCCTCCCACCTCAGCCTCTGGAGTAGCTGCGCCTGGGGACAAAGGTTCCTGGCCTCAGCGCACTCTCAGATTCACAGGGAGACAGAACTGAGACTGAGAGCTGGTTCCTCTCCCTCTCTCGTGGGGATACAGTGAGAAGGCAGCTGGGCAGAAATCAGGAAGAGGATCCTTACCAAGAACTCCAGTGTGCTGCACCCTGATCTAGACTTCCAGCCTGCAAAACTGTGAGAAATCAATGTTCGTTGAGCAGCCTGGCATATGGTATTGTGTTACAGCAACCCGAACCAAGACAAAGGTTCTCAGCTGGGGAGACAGAAACTCATCTGGAGCCTGCACTCCCCCTGGGGAGGGGAAGATGCCTGTCGACCTGGACAGAGGGCCTTGGACAGAGGCAGCCCTGGGCTGAGTTGGCCCTTGCTTGCCGCTTCTGCTCGGGGGCACTGGGACAGGATCCCGGAAGGTTCCAGAATGCATGTCAAGCAAGCAGCAGCCCCTGTGGAGTTTGGGGTAACATGCACAGAGGAAGAAATGGCGGAAAAGCAGCATCAGGATGGCTTTAGGGCGGGGAGCTGCTGGAAGGTGGCAGACAGAGTGAGCAGGGGCAGGAGATGGGCCAGCGAGGCACCCGCTGACATGGAAGTGCCGTCATGCACTGCACAGCAACCTTCCAGGCAAGGAGGGACACGTGCATGACAGTGGTCCCATGACTATGATGGAGCTGAAGAATTCCTATGGCCTAGGGATGTCATAGCCGTGGTACTGTCGTAGCACAGACATCACTCGTGGGAGCGATGGGCTATGCCACCCAGCCTAGGGGTAAATGAGGTGCACCTTCCAAGAGCCACCTAATCACCATTTCCCAGAATGCATCCTTGTTGTTAAGGGGCCCGTGACTGTATGTCTTGGGAAGCAACACGTGACTGTTGTCCCGCCCTGCACTGACTGCCCAGCGAGCACTCAGAATGCATTAGATATGGGGTGGACAGAGGAGGAGGACAGCACCAGAACCCAGACAGCAACCGCCCTTGGAATCACCATTTCCTGAACCAGGGGACCTCCCCAGCCACCCACACCAAAGCCTAAACTCTCATACCTCCTCTCTCTAAAGCAGGGGTCTGCAAGCTTTCTCTGCAAGGGCCACGTATGGAATCTTTTCAGTTTTGTCGGAAGTACCCACGTCTGCCCTTTTGGTGCCAAAGCCAGTAAAGGTGACACATAACGAGAGGGAGGCGCTGTGTGCCAATGGGACGTGTGTGCCAATGGGACTTGACTCAGACACCAACATTCAAATTTCATCTAATTTCCACATGTCATGAAATATTATTCTTTTAATTTTTTCAACCAGTAAAAAGTGTAAAAAATGTTCTTAGCTCACTGGGCGGTAGAAAAATAGATTGCAGGCTGGGTTTGGCTTGAGGGTAGTTTGCTGACCAAGGGAAAGGGAAAAAAACCAAACTTGCTCTAACCCACCTCTCTCCCTCCAGTCCCATGCAGTCAGTCCCACTTCCCTTTTTTTTTTTTTTTGTAACCACAAAATTATCTTCACCATTAATTTTTCTTGCTTTTGACTTGGTTTTCTATTACACAGGTAACTCTATTCTCTCCAATGAAACTACACCATTACCATGTGCTCAATTCCCAAACACATTTGAGTCTCTTTATTGCTTCAGTTCCACTCCATTGATCTTCTTGGTTCTTCCTGCACCAGGACCAAAGTTATTACAGTTAGTAATACATGGAGGCTTATCTTTGTGCAGATTTCTTTGTACTGGGATTTTCAGAAGACTTTCCTAGCCCTGGAAGGCTGGTGTAAAAGAAAGGTTTCTTTCATGTCTATAATTCCTCCCAAACTGCCCTCTAGCAGGTGAGCCCCTTGTGCTCCCACAAGCAGGGTGCTAGGCCGCCAATTCCTTACCCTTGGTGGGTTCTATAAATCATTGCAACATTGGCAATTGGCTAAGCAAGAAATGTCTTACTATTGTTTTAACTGAGTGTATTTTTTATACATTCACTTATTTTATTCTGGAATTGCCTGTTCATATCCTTTGCTATTTTCCCTCATGGAGGTTTTAATGGTTTAACCAATTTTTAGAAGTTCTTTACATGTGTTTAATATATAAATATAAATATTTACTTATTCCAGACATTTGTTATATTTTATATGTAATGTGTGTATTATCTCCTAATCTGTTATATGTGTTGCAAATATTTTCACTGAGGTTGTCCCTTAATTTTTCTTTTTTTTTTGAGACAGGGTCTCGCTCTGTCACCCAGGCTGGAGTGCAGTGCTGTGATCTCAGCTCATTACAACCTCTGTCTCCCAGGTTCAAGAGATTCTCCTGCCTCAGCCTCCTGAGTAGCTGGGATCACAGGTGCACACCACCACGCCTCGCAAATTTTTGTGTTTTTAGTAGAGATGGGTTTTGCCATATTGGCTGGCTGGTCTTGAACTCCTGACCTCAAGTGATCTGCCCACCTTGGCCTCCCAAAGTGCTGGTATTACAGGTGTGAGCCACTGCACCTGGCCATCCCTTAATTTTTAACAGTGATAAAGTTAAACTGTAACACTTGGTTCGTCACTGTCTCCTGCCCTTAGACTGTAAGCTTATGACCACAGGGACCTGGCCTGTCTGCTCACCACTGCGCCCCTAGAGCCTGTCTGGCTTTCATCATGGCTGCCACAAAAGCCGCAGGCTGTGACTGAGTTTTAGATGGGTCACTTGGTGCAATTTCACAGGAATGTCCAGTGATGAACAAGACCATGCAAGGAACCAGGCAGGGGCAGCAGATCCGTCACTCCTTTCTTAGGATTCCTTGGGTGTTGCTTCCAGGGCACCCCTGCTGTGCCCGCCTCCTTGGGTGTCTGTAGGAGCTCCGCCTCCTTTCTGTCTCTTTTCAAAGCTGCAGCCCACCCTTCTGAGAGGACACAGCCTCTTCAGTGCTCTGGACAAGTCTATGGGACTTCACTGAGTAAGGAGAGGTTGTGGTTTATTATTAGAGATGGGGTCTTGCCGCATTGCCCAGGCTGTACCCTAACTCCCGGGCTCAAGCAGTAGCTGGGAATACAGGCATGCGCCACCCCACCCCACTGGCTTTTTTGCACGTCATTTTGAACAACTGATCATTAATGAGTAACAGATAAGGGATATCAAAAGCAGCGAACATATAATACTTCCCGAAGCTTAGGAACTACTGATGCCCTACAGCCAAAGACCACCAGGGACGTACAAGCAGCCTCCAGCCAAAGACCACCAGGGACGCACAGGCAGTTGAACAAGTACAGATTATCGCTCATTGCAGTGAAGGAGAACACACACTTCAGGGAATTGTGGGTGTCTCCCGGGAAGACGGTCTTAGAAGGTATTAATAGGATTTGGACTTTAGCTGGGCATTTGCGGGCAGGGTCTGAGTTTGCTTTAAACTGGATGCTGTTAGAAAGTGAGGGCGGTTCCATGACTGGGTGTCTCGATAAATGATATCTAACCTATGAGAAGGGAAGACTAGAGGGAAGATAAAGCTGTAATTGGCAAAGACGTAACAGCCACAGGTTTCGGCTGGGAGTGGGTGTTTGCTGCTTTGTGGGTGGTGCAGTCAACTTGCTCCCATCTGTGCTTAGATATGGTGATGAAGTGGCCTGGCTTGGTCTCCTTTCATCTTTGTCTCCAAGCTCTGTCTGGGGCTGGCGTTCTGTGGGGCTGCTTATGTCCAGCAGGAGAACAGCATGCTGCGGCTGTGAGCGCCACGCCAGCTTCCAAATGTCAGGGCTGCTCTTTAAAAACTTATTTTTTTCAGAAGTTGTTGTGGCCCCTGGTTGATCCCTGTGACCTTGTGTCCTGGCTTTCGTAGTATAGCCTCAATGCAAAATATTTTCCTTATGTTCCATTGGCCAGAATGCATGTGCTGGCATTTGGATCTGAAAATTTACATCCTATAAAAAAAAAAATCCTGATGCTTGTTAGTGCTAGCTGCTCCTTATCTAAGCACCTGCTACACGCCAGGCATTCACCGTGAACTTCCAAACTCTAATCTTAACTAAAACCCCATGTGGTAGGCTTCATTATCCTTGTACCCTTGATGGAGACATTTAACTTGCCTGCAGTCACACAGCTAAGAGGTGACATAAATACAAGTGGGATTCAGGTGCAGGTGTCCTGACTCCAAAACTCAACTGCCTTCCACCAGCTACATGATCTCTTCTGAGTTTGAGCCCCAAAGACTTCATTGTAGGCTGATATTTTGCAAGTTTCTCAACTGCCAGATGGGGTCCCAACAACCCCCTTCACCCCTCTCCCAGAAGACCCCGTCTGGGTGGAGCACTAGGTGCCTCCCGAGCCCATCAGAGGAGGCTGATTTGAGGGGGTGGTTTGCAGCCCTGAGGCCCTCCAGACCCTGGGAGACAGGCTTGCCCTGGAGGAAGCCGCCCTTTCCAAGCGCTCAGTAGGCCCACCCAGTTCCGCACGCTCCTTCACAATCTCCATGCACTTGGCCCTCAGTCCAGACCTAGAAAGAAGATTCTATGATCAGCTCATTTGCAGATGAGGAAACCAGGCAGGGTAGGAAGTGGGAGGGTCCCACCAGACAGACCCTCAGGTACTAGTGCCCCTACCCCCAGGCACCCCTCGTGGCCACGCCCACCTGCCTCTGCGGGACAGTGTCCATACTTAACCCTAGCAATCCTGAATTACTGTGCCCTGGGCTGGCAGGTGCCAACTCCTAGACTCTTCGTGGTCATTGCACGGTAGGTTCTGTTGTCTTGTTTACTGGTGAAAACACCGAGGCTCCTCGGGTGTGCTGGGGCTGACCTGGACGCATGCTCTGGTCTGGCTCTAACGACCCACAGTGGGAACCTCATGCAGACAACGCCCCAGCACCTTGACTTGCATGATGCCCACTGGAAACTCACGCCTGACCCTTAGGTTGGGCTCCCAGCAGATGACTCTGAAGCAGAGACTTGGTTTTTTCATTTTGTTTGTTTGTGTTTTTTGGAAGGGTTTTGCTCTGTTGTCCAGACTGGAATGCAGCGGCTCGATCACAGGTCACTGCAGCCTCCTCCTCCTAGACTCAAGCGATCCTCCCACCTCAGCCCTCCGAGTAGCTGAGACTATAGGCACACACCACCAGGCCATGCTAATTTTTTTTCTGTGTTTTTTTTCCTGTTGTTGTTTTGTAAGTAAGGGGTTTTGTCACGTTGTGCAGGCTGGTCTTGAACTCCTGGGCTCAAGCGATTCACCTGCCTTGGCCCCTCAAAGTTGTGGGATTCAAGGGCCATCGTGCCCGGCCTTGAAGCAGAGCTTCATGTGCAGGAAGGTTTTGGGGGAGTGCTGTTGGGATCAGCATCTTCAAGGGAGGGAGGGAGGCGTGACTGGGCAGAGGGAGGAGCTGAGCGGCAAGACAGTTACCACTGAGGCCTCAGCCCACCCCAGGGCTGCTGGGAGGGGCCTGCAGGAACGTCCAGTGGAGGTGAGGCTGAGGTGGGAGGGCCTGGCCTTTGTGCCCCTGTTCCAATCAGTCTTTGGGTCCTGGCTGCTTCCAGGGAGGAGGCGTGGCCCTGGGTGAGGCATTTCCCTTCCCCCAGGGCAATGCCTACAGAGGGGTTCAGTGCAGGCTGTGCTCCCAATCGAGGGGTGCGTCTGGTCTGGGTGGAGGGATCTGCATGGGGCATCGCAGCATCCACCCCACTATGGTCACCAAAGACCCGTGCAAGAACCTTCCCAGCAGCACTGTTCTATTGCATAGACATCCAAACTGGAAACTTCCCCAGTGTCCATCAGTGGAGAATGGACAAACAAGGTGTGATGCTGACAATAGTAAACTTCCACCTGAGCCTTGAGCTCCTGGGAAACGGCGACTATTAAGAAATCCTCCACCCTCTCAAGCAGTTTGAAAATTTTTCGAGGAACTTAGAACTACCCTTTGACCCAGCAATCTCATTACTGGGTTTACATCCAAAAGAAATAATTGTTTCACCAAAAAGACACCTGGCGCTTGTATTTTCATCGCAGTGCTGTTCACAATAGCGAAGCCACGGTGCCCGTCCACGGTGGATTGCATAAAGAAAGTGTGGTACATAGACACCATGGGATATGACACAACCATCAAAAAGAACGAAATCATGTCCTTTGCAGCAACGTGGATGCAGTGGAAGCCGTCATTCTAAGTGAGTTAAGGAAGGAACAGAAAATCAAATACTGCATGTTCTCACCTGTAAGTGGGAGCTAAACACTGGGTAGTCATGGACGTAAAGATGGCAACAAGGGATGCTGGGGACTCCTAGCGGGGAGGGAGGAAGGGAGAGGGTAGGGTTGCAAAGCTATAGGGTGCTATGCTCAGCACCTGGGTGAGGGGATCGTTCATACCCCAAACCTCAGCACCACACAATATACCCAGGTAACAAACCTGCAGATATACCCCTTGAATCCGAAATAAAAGTTGAAATTATTAAAAAGAAAATAGAAGAAATGCCCCACCCTCCTGTAGGCCTTTCCCCTGCCACATGGATAAGGCAGGATGGTGAACCCCTGTTGACCAACGATGAGGCCAGATCCAGACCCTCCAAATTCCCGATCTTCAACTCATGAGTGACTAGCTGAACTGTTTGTCCGCACTGACCAATCTGGATAAAATGCCTGTTGACTTGTCCATACTTTAGTCAGGCTTCCTGGTTCCCCACAGGCTGTGACCTTGGCCCACCTTGAGCAGCATGGGAACCCCTCTAACAGCCCCTCCTCAGAATCTCAGTTTCAGGAGAACACTCCCCGGTGCACTGTCCCATCTGTCACTGCTCATCCCGCCCCACCTGCCGCGGTCTTTCTAGCCTTGCTGACGCCTCCCTGCAAATGTGAAGCCCTTTCTGTAGCCTGGGACAGGGGTTCTTGCTGTCAAAGGATGGACCTCCTACTGCAACAGCCCCCTCCCTACTGCAGGGGGCTCTCCTCAGGCTGGAGTGCAGTGTTGCCATCTCAGCTCACTACAGCCTTGACCTCCTAGGCTCAAACAATTCTCCTGCCTCAGCCTCCCCAGTAGCTGAGACCACAGCTGCTTGCCACCACACCTGGCTAATTTTTGTATTTTTCATAGAGACCGGGGTCTCCCCATGTTGCCCAGGTGGGTCTTGAACTCCTGGGCTCAAGTGATCCACTTGCCTCAGCCTCCCAAAGTGCTGGGATTACAGGCATGAGCCACACACCTGGCTGAGAGTGTGTTAAGATACTTAAAATCTCAGGCCAGGCGCGGTGGCTCACGCCTAAAATCCCAGCATTTTGGGAGGTCCAGGCCAGAGGATCCCTTGAGGCCAGGATTTCAAGACTCACCCGGGAAACAAGAGGAAAACCTAGTCTCCACAAAAAATAAAAGAAAAACTTAGCCACAGCGGCAGTGAGCTATGATTGTGACACTGCACTCCAGCCTGAGCCACAGAGGAGAACCTGTCTCAAAAAAATAAAACATAAATAAAAACGCCTATCTCTGGGCTCCCCCTCAGAGTCTGTTTGCTAGGTCTGGGCTGGGGTCCAGGAATTTCCATTTCTAACAAGTTCCCAGGAGATGCTGCTGCTGCGTGCAGAACCTCAGCCCCAGGGGAAGGTAGCTTTCTGTGACTTGCTGTTTACTACTTGTTAAAATTCACTGAGACATTGGATGATAAGGTGTAGCCCTGTGGGGTTGAGATCTAAATGATTCTTGTTGTGTATAAAAGATAGCCCAGCAGCTACAGGTTTATTGCCTTGGAATTTATTAACCTGTTTTGTATCAAACTTAGCATTTGTATCCATCCTTCTTCCTCCCTGAGTGCATAACCCCACTTCTCTAACTCCCCGTGACTCAGACTCGCCATCCTGACAATTCCCTCATCAATGAGCTATACGCCTTTGCGTGTGTTTGCTGTATAAGTACATGACATATTGATGAGATACACAGTATGTATATGTGTTGTTAATGTTTCAAAGATTATGCTTTCATGGCAGAAACATCTATATATATGCTCCAAGACATGTATGGTTGTTCCTTACATCACCATAGTATAGGAAACCTGGAAGGAAACAATTCAAATGTGATCACTAGGGGTGTGGGTACACAGCACATGGTCTATCCACGTTATACACTCAAAAATAGTGAAGTGTGGGCCTCTAGGCATGGCAGAGGGCAGAAGCTGGCAAATCTGTTCCCACACCCAAAAGTATAAAATGGGACAAAATTGTCAAGAGCGATCATTTCAGAGCTCTCAAAATTGACCAAAGGCAAATCATCAAATGGAGAAACATATACTCATAATAAAAAGCTGCCAGAACTTCTAGTTAGAACAGCAGGACTTTGCAGCCTTCTTGCCTGGAGCTGCTGTCATTCTGGCACCCTGCCCTGATATCCTAGGCTGGGCCGGCCTTGAAAACCAGTAGTCTCACCCGCAAAGGGGGCTGATTTAATTTGGAACTGGGAAAAAAACTCAGACCTGCTGATGAGACGGGATTGTTCCCTTGATTTTGACCCCCTTCATGGGTGGGTACTGGAGAGGCTCGTTTCACTCAGCCTGCTGGGTGGCGGGTCGGGGGGTGGGGAACACTGCGTCTATGAAAACATTTTAAAAATTGCCATGTATGGTGGCTCCCACTTGTGGTCCCAGCTACTTGGGAGGCTGAGGTGGGAGGAACATTGAGCCCAGGAGTTTAAGGTTGCGGTGAGCTGTGAGTCCACCACTGAATTCCAGCCTGGGCAACAGAGTGAAGCCTTCTCTCAAAAAAAAAAAAAAAAAAAAAAAAAAAAATTGCATCGTGTGAATATACTGATATGGGAGGTAGAAAGAAATTATTTAGGCAGATAGTGAGGGCAAAAGAGTCCTTGGCAGAATTTCCCTTCTAACAAAAAGCAGCCTCCAAAATCATTTCTTTTCTAACAAAAAGCAGCCTGAAAAATAGAGCTTGAAACATAGAGATAAGCCAGCTGGAAGCCTGCACAGGGGAACGCTGGCAGCCGTGCCAGTAGAAAAGGGCCAGACATGTCCCACACGGAGGCTCCATCCTCCCTTTTTTGGTTACCACATGTACAGTAATAAAGAAATGGGCAACACGCTGTTCTTCTTGTTATCCTTCCGTGGCTACTGTAAAGCATTTAGAGACAGTAACAAGGAGGGAGCACGTTCTTCCACCTGGGCAACACGCTGCTCTTCTTGTTATCCTTCCGTGGCTACTGTAAAGCATTTAGGGACAGTAACAAGGAGGGAGCACGTTCTTCCACCTGGGCAACACGCTGCTCTTCTTGTTATCCTTCCGTGGCTACTGTAAAGCATTTAGGGACAGTAACAAGGAGGGAGCACGTTCTTCCACCTGGGCAACACGCTGTTCTTCTTGTTATCCTTCCGTGGCTACTGTAAAGCATTTAGGGACAGTAACAAGGAGGGAGCACGTTCTTCCACCTGGGCAACACGCTGTTCTTCTTGTTATCCTTCCGTGGCTACTGTGAAGCATTTAGGGACAGTAACAAGGAGGGAGCACGTTCTTCCACCTGGGCAACACGCTGTTCTTCTTGTTATCCTTCCCTGGCTACTGTAAAGCATTTAGAGAGAGTAACAAGGAGGGAGCACGTTCTTCCACCTGGGCAACACGCTGTTCTTCTTGCTATCCTTCCGTGGCTATTGTAAAGCATTTAGAGACAGTAACAAGGAGGGAGCACGTTCTTCCACCTGGGCAACACGCTGTTCTTCTTGCTATCCTTCCGTGGCTATTGTAAAGCATTTAGAGACAGTAATAAGGAGGCAGCACGTTCTTCCACCTTCTGGGTGCTGCTGAGCATCTTTCTGGGAGCAGTGGCCATGCTGTGCAAAGAGAAAGGGATCACCGTGCTGGGTTGGAACGTGGTGTTTGACATCTTGGTGAGAGGCAAATTCAATGTTCTGGAAATTGTCCAGAAGGTACCACATAAGGACAAGTCATGAGAGAATCTTGGCATGCTCAGGAACCGGGACTCCTCTTCAGAATGACCCTGCTCGCCTCCGGAGGGGCTGGGATGCTCTCCGTGCGCTGGAGGATCATAGGCCCGGGCCCGCCGGCCTTCACCGAGGAGGACAACTGGGCCTCCTTTGCTGACCGCGTGCTGGCGAGGGCCATAAACGACAATTACTCCTATTCATTGAATGCCTGGCTGCTGCTGCTGCGTCCCTGGTGGCTGTGTTTTGATTGGTCAGTGGGCTGCAGCCCCCTCATGAAGTCCCTCAGCGACTGGAGGGTAACTGCATTTGCAGCGCTCTGGTTCCGCCCAGTTGGCCTCATACGCCAAGCCCTGTGCTCTGCAGACGGCCACCAGAGAAGGATCCTTACTCTGCGCCTGGGATTGCTCGTTATCCCGTTTCTCCCCGCAAGTAACCTGTTCTTCCGAGCGGGCTTCGTGGTCCCGAGCGTGGGGTGCTGTGTGATGCTGCTTTTTGGATTCGGAGCCTGCGCAAACACACCGAGAAAAAGAAGCTCATCGCTGCCGTGGTGCTGGGAATCCTACTCAGCAAGATGCTGAGAGGCTGAGATGCGCGGTGCGCGGCGGCGAGTGGCGGAGCGAGGGGCGGTTTTCAGAGGCGCTGTGTCTGTGTGTCCCCTCAGTGCTGAGGTTCGCTGCAACATCGGCAGAAACCTGGCTGCTAAAGGCAACCAGACGGGCGCCATCAGATACCACCGGGAAGCTGTAAGCTTAAATCCCAAGTATGTTCATGCCGTGAATAATCTTGCAAATGTCTTAAAAGAAAGGAATGAGCTACAGGAAGCTGAGGAGCTGCTGTCTTTGGCTGTTCAAATGCAGCCAGACTTTGCTGCTGCGTGGATGAGTCTAGGCATAGCGCGGAGCAGCCTGAAACGCTTTGAAACCGCCAAGCAAAGTTACCCGACGGCGAGTAAACAGAAGGAAATACCCAGACCGTTACTACAGCCTCCGGCGTCTGCTGATCTCAATCGCCAGGTGGACGCCTTCAATGCGTGGAGAAATGCACCGAGCTGAAACCAGCGCGCAGCCTGGCCTGGAACAACGTGGTTACACTGCTCACGACCCAGGTAGTGCAGCCCAAGCCGAGGCAGTTGGAAGAGACGCGCTGGAATTAATACCTGATGATCACTCTCTCGTGTTCTCCTTGGCAAACGTGCTGGGGAAATCCCAGAAATACAAGGAATCGGAAGCCTGACTCCTCAAGGCAATTAAAGCAAATCCAAATGCTTCAAGTTACCGTGGTAATTTGGCTGTGCTTTATCATCGCTGGGGACACCTAGACTCGGCCAAGAAACGCTATGAAGTCTCCTTGCAGCTTCACCCCACGGCATCAGGAACTAAGGAGAATGCAAATGCAACAGAAAGACGCTGATCCTTTTTCCTTCATGTTTGGAGTCTGAGTGTGTGTGTGCATGAGCATATCTTTAATAGTATGTGGTTACATTTAACCATTTAAAAGTCTCAGACATGTGATTTTATTGATTTTTTTCGGCGCAAAAAGATGATAGCACCAGCAATATACTCTTGAATGCTTGATATGATTTTTTCATTGAAATTGTATTTTTTCAGACAACTCAAATGTAATTCTAAAATTCCAAAATTGTCTTTTTTAATTAAACAGAAAAAGAGAAAAAAATTATCTTGAGCAACTTTTAGTAGAATTGAACGTACATTTGGGATCTGAGCCTTGTCGTGTATGGACCAGCACTATTAAACTTCAATTATGACCAAGAAAGGATAGACTGACTCCTACAATTTGTATAAATATTGAATGTGTCTGTATGTTAGCATTTTTATTTAATGAAAAAGCAAATTAAGATTCTTGTTTTTTTAATCTCTCTTTTTTTAAAGCAATATACTGTGAACTTCGTTTGTAAGAAAATATTTATTTGTATTTTTATGTCTGGAATAGGGCAAATAATCGAACGAGGAATGGAAATTTTAACATGTAGTACAGCTACATGCTGTTCCCCACAGGAAGAAATTGACTCTTGCAGTAGTTTTGGATGCTCTGACTTGCACAATTTCAATACATAGGTGGTTATGCATAATCGATTACTATCAATAGAAAGTTCAAGCCATGCTTTAGGCAAGGGCAGGCAGCCTCACATCTTTATGTTTGTTACATCCAGGGTGAAGAGGGCAACACATCTGTGCAAGTTGCTTTTGAGTGTTTTTAACTGAAAAGCTGTTTTCCATTTTTGCTTAATGAAACTACAGAAATTACTCTATCCAGAAAATGCAAAATTTTCTCTCAAATGGAGCCACATTTATGGTATTTTTAAGAATTGAGTTGTTCCTGCTGTTTTTTATTTGATCCAAACAATGTTTTGCTTTGTTGTTCTCTGCATGCTGTTGACCTAATGATTTATGCAATCTCTGTAATTTCTTATGCAGTAAAATTATTACACAAACTAGCAAAAAAAGAGAAAGAAAAGAAAAGAAATGGAGAACACGGGGCAGCTCAGGCAGAGAACCCATCTGCGTAATAAAAGATTAGTATGGGGACTACCAGAGATTTGTGGCCTATGCAAATGGCACGCCTGGTCCACCCAGTTTTTCTCGCCCGATGTAGATCAGACACCACCTCCTCACCAGCTCATCAGTAACACCCCCTGCATTTCACTGTGGATCCAGGAGCCCATTTTTCTGAGACCCCTCTCTGTAGCAGAGTGGTTATCTTTCTTTCACCTATTAAACTTCTGCTCTTGGCCAGGTGTGGTGGCTCACACTTGTAATCCCAGCACTTTGGGAGGCCGAGGTGGGCAGGAGGTCAGGAGTTCGAGACCAGCCTGGCCAACATGATGAAACTCCATCTCTACTAAAAATACAAAAACTAGCCGGGCGTGGTGGCACACGCCTGTAATCCCAGTTACTTGGGAGGCTGAGGCAGGAGAATTGCTTGAACCCGGGAGGCAGAGGTTGCAGTGAGCTGAGATGGCACCACTGCATTCCAGCCTGGGTGACAGTGAGACTCCATCTCAAAAACAAAACAAAACAAACAAACAAAAATCTTCTGCTTTTAATCTCACTCTTTGTGTGTTCACATCCTTGATCTCCATCACCATGAGACAATGAACCTCGAGTATTATCCCAGACAACGAGGCCGCTTCAATACACATTTGGTTTATCCATTCATCAATTGATGGACATTTATGTTGTTTCCACTTTTTGGCTATCATGAACAATGATACCATAAACAGTTGAGTACAATTCTTTACATAAACACGTTTTCAATTCTCTTGTGTATATACCGAGGACTGGAGTTGATGGGTTGTATAGTAACCGTATGCTTAACCTTTTGGTATAGCAAAGTGAAACTTACAACATAGCAATTCCACTCATATCGTTTATATGAATGGAATTTATATGAAATTTACAGGAAAGGCAGATCAATACAGACAGAAACCAGATCACTGGTTGTCTAGGTTGGAGGCTGAGAGCCAGGGTTGGCTGCAGATGGGGATGCAGGAAATTTTTCTGACAAAGGAACTGTTTTAAAAGTGGATTGTGGTGATGGTTGCAGAACTGTATACAGTGACTAAAAATCATTGAGCTGTAAACTTACAATGAGTGGATTTTATTGTATTGAACTGTGCCCCAATAAAGCTGTTAGGGAATGCTAAACCATAAAAACAGACCCCCAAACACAGCAGCGAGGCAGTTAGTGTTTCCCAGGGATCAGCTGAGTGACCGTTGCAGTGTGCAAAATGATTCCTGTGGCCCAGAGCATAATAATGTTCACATAAGGCTTTAATGCAGCCTTGGCGGGCAGGTAACTTGCACCTTGAAACTTGAAGTTCTTGCTAGTGTTGCTTGTAATTAAGCTAAAGTAATTGTATAAATGATAAACATATGAGTAAATTTAAGGAGATGCCAAGTAAATGAAGGAGATGAGCAACCACCATGAGACTGAAGCTGGGAGGGGCGTGATGGAAGTCATCCAATCCAAAACTGCCGGAATAGAGACCTTGCCAACAGATGAGTTTAAAAAACGAAAAGTGCATGTTACAGAAACGAAATGAGGATCCGTCATAGGATCCAGTTTATGGCCAACATGGGCGCATCCACCCAATAGTGTGAGTCTGCAGGAGGGGCCAATGTGTGCTGCTGTGTTTTGTGTGTAATGTGCAAAGTCCTGGTCCTTGAGGAGATGGGGGCACTGGCTTTTATTTTCTACAGCTGTCTTCTATAATCTAAGGAGAGAAAAGCTTCTGTTGATGAGCACGCGGGGCTGCAGGAGGGTCGTGGTGTTGAGCGTGCTGGCCCTCTGCAGGGGCCGCCTGGGCAGGTCAGCTCCTCCGTTGGCTCTCAGAGTTTGAGTTTCACAACCCCTGGAGGTCCTGGTTCCTCCTGTAGAATGGCTCTGTCCAAATTTCCTCTTATAAGGACACCAGTCAAATTGGATTTGGGCCCACCCTAGTGACCTCATTTTTGTATAATCACCTCTTTAAAGACCCTATCTCCAAAAACAGTCACATTTTGAGGTCCTAGTGGTTGGAGCTCTAAGATATGAATTTTGAGGGGGACGCACTTCAGCGCTAGCAATGTCTTTCAGGCCTCAGGACTCCAGCTGAGCAGCGAGGCAGAGTCCAGATGGCAAAGGGAGGCTCTGGAGGGTTTCACAAATGGGACCATCCTGTGCCACTTTAGGCAAAAGGTGGAAGGAAGTGATCTTCTGGGGCTGCTTGGCTGGTTGTTCCAATGAATCCAGGAGAAGCAACCAGGTTAGCTTTGCCTTTGCCCTTTGGAAATCCATTTGGATTCAGTTCCAGTGTTGCATGGGCCTGGAGGCTGTGCCAACGTGGGTCCAGGGCACAGTTTAGGGACCTGCTCTGTGACCACAGGCCAGCCATTCCCATCTCTGAGCCTGTTTCACATCAACAAAATGAGAGGGTGAATTAAATGATCTCTAAGGTCCCTGCTCACCTGCAGTCACAGAGCAGGTCTGGGATTCCATCTGGCAGCGTGCAGCTGTGGAGTGGGCGGGCTCTGTGCCGAGGTCATCCTTGCAGTGTCCACAGCAAGTGAGGTGGGCTCAGTTCTTCAAAGGTGCTGATGGCTGATGTGGGAAGGCAACGGTGTAGATGCCTTTTTCTCCTTGCGCCTCTGTAACCAGGTGGAGATAGCAGTGGGATGTTCTAGTCCCTAATGTCACAAATGCGAAGTAATGAAGGAAAAAGCGGAAGGAGCCGTTTCTGCCTGGTTTTGAACCGGGAACCTTTTGCGTGTGAGGCGACATGGGACTTTGTAATACTTGCTTCCCTTTTGTGTATGCTTAAAGTTTTCTATAATAATGGTTTAAAATATTCACAGGCAAGTTTTTTTTTTTTCCAACTTCCTTACCAAATCCTTTCCCATCAAGTTGTTCATTCAACTTATGGGGAGATTTTGCATCATACATGTGACAAATCTTCATTCCAATCAGGTGGTCAGTGTTTCCTGCCTGTGTGAATATGAAAACTTGCTTTAAGCTAGGCATGGTGGCTCATGCCTGTAATCCCAGCTACCTGGAAGGCGGAGGTGGGAGGATCACTTGAGCCCAGGAGTTTGATGCTGCAGAGAGCTATGACTGCACCACTGCATTCCAGCCTGGGCAACAAAGAAAGACCCAATCTGTAAAAATTAAAATATTTTAAATTTCAGCCGGGGAGGATGGCTCACACTTCTCATCCTGTAATTTGTTTGTTTGTCTGTTTTTGAGACAGGGTTACGCTTTGTTACCCAGGCTGGAGTGCAGTGGCACAAAACCAGAATACTGCTTATCAGACAACTGTTTTCTCATTAAGACTCCTCACATCTGATGCCCACCAAGCCACTTCCAACTTCTCAAATCCAGATCCTAACACTCATACACATCTACCCTTGATCTTCCACTTCTGAAATACTGCAGAACGTGGTCATGGTGGTGTTTACCTTTACTGCATAAGGAATAAACTTGGCCTTGTTTGATCAGCAGGTTTTCCAGGTGGACTTTTTTTTTGAAAAAGTTAATAGAGAATAATTTTAATTCCTAAAAGCTTTGAATATTTTTTCTTCTCCTATGCATGGTTGCTCTAGTAGATGATCACAGATGCATTTGGGTGAAGGTTGAGAAGACTTACAGTATATATTCATTTAAAAATAATTCTAAAATTAATTATTGCCCATGACCCAGATGGAAAATTACTGTGCATTATTGTGCAGTTAATCAGACGGTGACTCAAACCACAGTGGCTGTTACAGATGTGCTCATCCTTAGTGGAACAAAGCAGCATAGCTTTTTATACCTAATATTCAGATTTTTTGTTTTTTTTTGAGATCCAGTCTCTCTCTGATGCCCAGGCTGGAGTGCAATGGTGTACTCTCTGCTCACTGCAACCTCCGCCTCCCGGGTTCAAGCAATTCTCCTGCCTCAGCCTCCGGAATAGCTGGGATTACAGGCGCCCGCCCACCACCACGCCTGGCCAATTTTTGTATTTTTAGTAGAGACGGGGTTTCACCATATTGGCCAGGCTGGCCTTGAACTCCTGACCTTAAGTGATTTACCTGCTTTGGCCTCCCAAAGTGCTGGGTTTATAGGCATGAGCCACCACCCCTGGCCCTAGTATGCACTTATTGACATGAAAAACTATTTTTCCTCTGTAACAAGTTGTAAGGCCCACAAAAAGCAGCTGTGTGCATTCCAGGACCACAACAGTGCGTCTCAACAATCTTGCCTCAGGACTCCATCGTTTCTCCTCCTGCGCAATATAATCCACAGAGATCTTAATCATCTTAACATGCCATAGAACACCATGCTTTGTGGAACAACTCAGATGCTTGCTCAGTGGACTATGGACAAAGTGGTTGCGGTTGTAGGGACAGAGGTTATCCACAGGTGCACCAACACGGATGGGTCCTCACCAAGCTGACCTGGTTACCACTACCACTGAGTGGCCAACCTTCCATCAGCAGAAACTCATTCTGGGCCCCAACATGGCACCTTTCCTTTTGCTACTAGCCTCCTAGAAGCAGGCTTTTATATTGGATCCCTTTTGTCATGAACGGCATAGCAATTTGACCTCACTGCGATAGACACCTTTTCTAGATTTGAATTTGCCTTCCCTGCCCACGCACATCTGACAGCACCGCCATCTATGTGCAGAATGCCTCAGATACCCCAGAGTGTTCTGCACAGCATCTCTTCTGATCAAGGAACTTGTTTTCTAGCAGAAGAAGGGCAGTGATGGGCTTATGTCTGTGGAGCTGACAGGTCCTGTGTTAGTCCATCGCCCGGAAGCAGGTGTTCTCATTACGATACCAACTCTTTTACAGTGTCAGTTCAGAAGCAAGACCCTGGAAAGACGGGGGCAAAGGACATAGGGAATCCAAAGTGAAGAAGAAGGTTCTAAATACCAATGATGTCTTCATGATCAATTGCCATGTTGGGGTGTGTGTGCGTGTGTCCCTGTGTGGAAGCTAATTTGTCCTCTCCCCCTCCTCTTATTGCTTTACATACCCCTGGTGGTGGAGGCTACCGTTCAGTCAAGATCGTGACTGTACATGAGGGATGACAGTGCCCACCGTTCAGTCAAGACCGTGACTGTACATGAGGGATGACAGTGCCCACAGGCGGTGCCACGGCTGCCAAAGGGCAGCGTGTGTGGACGCGGACACATTCTTAGGAAAAGCAAAATGTCCCTGCTGTTTAGTGGAAGTTCAGCTGTGAGTGAAATGCTGTGTGGACACTGAATGGCCACAGGAGGGACCTGCACCCGCTTTTAAGCAGTTGCCTCAGCCTGCAGCCCACACTCCTGTCATCTGAATTGTGTTGCTAGGGCTGATTTGCTGTCGGGGCCCATCAGTCTCCGCCAGGAGGACACTAGAAGGAGGCTGTCAGCCAGCAGGAGCGGAAAGAAACCAATCCTCATGACTTCCTGTTTTTTCCTGTCAAAATCGTCCCAGCAATGTTTCTTCATCCTGGAAGTTGGCTCCATGCTGCAGATTTTACTTTCACACTTCCGCACTCGTCTCATCCTGCCCTTAGAAAAACACGCAGCAGCCGACTGGCCCCCAAGCGTCAGCAGCCGGGACCTGAGGCCCTCTCTGAACACCTAGAGTGTCAGGAGCAACCACACAGCAGCTGCTCCTCGGAAGCCTGGGCCCAGCTTTGGAGGCCGCTTCTTCTCCCCCGCCGGCCCCCGTGCTCCGGGGGTACCACAAGGCAGGGCCAGGCAGCCCTCCAAGGTCAGGGAGATGCTTCTCCAGGGCCTCTGCTGAGCTCGGGATGCCATGGTCACTGCCTGCCCCCAGATGTTTGAGCTCCAAGGATCCCTAGTGTTCTTGTTTTGGCCATTCAGTTCTCCAACATCTGGTTAGCAATTTTGTTTAATTTTTGTGTTTTTTTAGACACGGGGTCTCGCTCTGTCACCCAGGCTAGAGTGCAGTCAGTGGTGCAGTTCTCTTACTGTAGCCTTGAACTCCTGGGCTCAAGCCGTCCTCCCTCCTTAGCCTCCCGAGTAGCTCGGACTGCAGTAGCTAGGACCAGGCTGGTCTTGTACTCCTGGCCTCAAGTGATCCCTCTGCCTCAGCCTCTCAAAGGGCTGGCATTACAGGTGTGAGCCACCGTGCCTGGCCAGCAATTCTTTATGTTAAACTTTCTCTTAAAATAACTGACGTGATTTTGTTCCTAAATGGACCCTGACTGATATATAAGTTTCAAAATAATGGCTCAGTTTATCTCCTTATTTCTTTTCCAGTCTTCATGCTCCAAGAGAGATACAGTTTTAAACCGTTAAAGAACTTGAAGTGCTAAAATGAATCACAGCTGCCACAGCAAACTTGACATGTGAACAGTGCTTTTAAAATGCTTCCATTTATATTACCTCACTTGATGCTCTCTTCTTGCATTCATTCAATAATGTTTTATTGAGCAACTGCTACTTATAAGGCACAGGGTCTGGTACTGGTAATACACTGTGAACCCCCAACCTTTGAGACAGATATCAGTTAATTTAGAAAGTTTATTTTGTCAAGGTTGAGGACGTGCACCCGTGACGCGGCCCTCCGGAGGTCCTGACGACACGTGCCCAAGGTGGTCAGGGCACGCTTGGTTTTATACATTTTAGGGAGACATGAGACATCAATCAATGTATGTAAGAAATACACTGGTTCCATCCAGAAAGGCGGGGACAGCTCGAAGCAGGGAGGGGGCTTCCAGGTCACAGGTAGGTGAGAGACAAATGGTTGCAGTCTTTTGAGTTTCCGATGAGACATTCCAAAGGAGTCAATCAGAAGCTGCATCGATCTCAGTGAGCAGAGGGCTGACTTTGAAAGAATGGGAGGCAGGTTTGCCCTGAGCAGTTCCCACCTTGACTTTTCCCTTTATCCTCGTGATTTTGGGGGCCCAAGATATCCTCCTTTCATAACACACACAAAAAAACAAGATATTCCCCCCACGAGGATAACTACTAAACTGCAGGGATTTATTTTTATTACTTAAAGGAGGTTTTATAAAGCCTCTAATTGAACATAGAAAAAGGCAAAGAACTGTCCAAAAAGAGTTATAGGGACTCAATTTCTGCCATTTAGAAAGTTTCCACTTAAGATATCCACATTTGTTAGTCTAAGTCATCAATTAAATAATTTAGAAAGAATAGAAAAGGAACAGGAACCTAGAACTTAGTAAGCATCCAATAAAAGACAGCTATTACCAAGAAGAATTAAGAAATATAGCACTAAAGGGCAGAAAAACACAAAAAATAAAATAAAGAAAATAAAAAATAGAGTAAATTTAGTCCAAGGATGTCATAAACAATCAACAATGACAATAATAGCAGCCGTTGCTTCTTCATGGAGCTTTAGATTGACACATTGTGATCTTTACAAAATCCCTCAGAGCACGAGTGTCCTGATTATCTTTTTTTCCTTTTTTTTTGGTACAGAAATGTTCATAATGGCTTTTCTCATGATGGCCAAAACCTATAAACCATCCAATGACCATCAACAGGTGAATGGAAACAGACACTCACAAAGGTTGAGTGACTTCCCAATGTGACACAGGCAAGAAGGGGCACAGCAGGCACCAGACTCTGGGGTTCAGTGCTGGCTGCCAATCCTGCAGCGGTCCAGCCCCTTCCTCAGTGCCCCCATCACCTCCCCATTCCTCAAGCTGTAAATGAGGGGGTTCAGCATGGGAGTAAGGACTGTGTAGAAGATAGAGGCCACCTTGTCATGGCTAGGGGCCCGGTAGCGCCTAGGCCTCAGGTACATGAACATGGCTGCCCCATAGAAGAGGGTGACAGCTGTTAGGTGGGAGGAGCAGGTGGCCAGGGCTTTTTTCCAGGCCTGAGCAGAGCGTATTCGGAGCACAGCCCCTAGGATGCAAGCATAGGAGGCCATGATGATGGAGAAGGGAAGGAGAAGCATGAAGACACAGCAAGCAAAGAGGAGGGTGTCAAAAAGGGAAGTGTCTGCACAGGCCAGCTTCAATAAAGCTTGTACCTCACAGAAAAAGTGATCCACGCTCCTTGAGCCACAGTAAGGTAAGCCCATGGCTGCCACCATCTGAATCACTCCATCTATTATCCCAAAGGCCCAGGAGCTCCCAGTAATCTGGAGACAGACCCTCTGATTCATGAGGATGGGATAGTGAAGTGGGTGGCTAACGGCCACGTAGCGGTCATAAGCCATGAGTCCCAGCAAGAGCCCCTCAGATCCCACAAGAGAGACAAAAAAGCCAATTTGTATGCCACAGCCCACAAAGGAGATGGACTTCCTGCCAGACAGGAAGTTGGCTGCCATCTTTGGCACAATGTTACAGACCAACATGAGGTCCATGAGGGAGAGCTGGCTGAGGAAGAAGTACATGGGGGTGTGAAGTCCAGCGTCCAGGTAGATGAGGAAGATGAGGAGGACATTCCCACAGAGGGCCACTGTGAAGACCACCATAACTGCAGAGAAGAGGACAAGGTCAGTCTGGCTGTGGGAAAAGATGCCCAAGAGGAAGAAGCCATCTGTGTAGGACTGGTTCACCCATCTTCCCATGGCTTAGTTGTTCACTGTCACCTGAGAACATAAGAGAAATTATAAGATTGAGTGACATGTCTCTATTGTGCTCCAAATTCTTCAGTTCAACAGCGTATGCTCTGAGAGATGCAGGAGGACACTCGTATTCCTGTGACACAGGTGACAGGACCTCTGCCAGCTCTGGAATTGGACTACACATCTGTATTTGTGCATATCCATACCCAGAGAGTGGACATAGGATCATTTCATGAGACCCAGGACTGTTGGACAATTCTCTTTTGGCCAGCAAAGCCCAGGCTTTCCACATGGCACTGCCTCTTAGCTGGGGTCACATGGATTTGGTCAACTGTCTCTAACATGCCTTGGTCTATTTCATGCCTGAGAGATCATTACATGTGTTACAAAAAGGAAAGATCAAGCTGGGCGCGGTGGCTCACGCCTGTAATCCCAGCACTCTGGGATGCTGAGGCGGGTGGATCACCTGAGGTTGGGAGTTCAAGACCAGCCTGACCAACATGGAGAAACCCTGTCTCTACTAAAAGTACAAAATTAGCCAGGCGTGGTGGCGCATGACTGTAATCCCAGCTACTCGGGAGGCTGAGGCAGGAGAATCGCTTGAACCCAGGAGGTGGAGGTTGCAGTGAGCCGAGATTGTGCCATTGCACTCCAGCCTGGGCAACAAGAGCGAAACTCCATTTCAATTAAAAAAAGAAAAAAAAGGAAAGATCATGGCAACGTGAGATGTTCTTTAGTCTTTACTTTGTTCAGGTCAAAAATCCTGGGACCATTTTCAACTTCTCTATTTCTTTAATTCCCTAGGTCCAAACCATCAGAAAAGCCCCTTGGCCCATACCCTCAGTGTTTCTCAGAATCTAATTCGCTTTTCCCACCTCCACCAAAACTACCCTGGTCCCAGCCACCCTCCTTTTTCTGATGGGTTATTGTAGCCTCTTCCCTGGTCTCCCAGCTTCTATCCTTGAACTCTTGAGTCTATTGTCACAGCATTTGCAGAGAGTCTGCTAAGATGTAAAGCATTTGTGTAACTTTCCTAGTGAAAGTAGGTCAATGACATCCCAAATTACTCCAAATAAAGCCCAGTTCTTACAGTGGCAAGCAAAGCCCTACATCACACACCACACACACACACACACACACACACACACACACACACAGAGACACACAGACAGACACTAATACACACATAGACACACACACAGACAGACATATAGACACACACACAGACACATGGAAATACACAGACACACACATATACACATGAAAATACACATGCAGAAACACATAGATACACGGAGTCACACACACAGCCATATAAACAAAGACACACACACAGATACACACCCAGAGACATACAGACATGGAAAGATATGCACAGACACGCACAGAAACACATAAGCACACATACATCCATATACAGAAACACAGAGACATACACACACACACACAGAGTCATACACAAATACAGACATATACACAGACACACATAGACACAGTTACACACCCAGACACATGGACACACGGAAATACACACACACCCCGCACGTCCCTCTGAGGTCCCCTCGGGCCCCTCCCTTGCTCGCAGAGCTTCCGGGGGTCTCCTGGGCCTGGTGCCCGCACCTCCATCCTTTGCTGGTTTTCCTCGGTGGAATGCTCTTCCCCAGGTCCCCCTCCCTCCCTGCTTCCTGTCTTTCCTCAAATGCCAGTCTTCACAGAGAGGTGTTCCGTGGAAGCCGGATGAAAACGCTGAATGTCTCGTTCTCCCAGGCCCCTTCCTGCTGCCGTTTCTCCACGGCACTGGTGCCATCTGACACCCACAGGCTCCCGTATTTGGACCGTCCCCGTCTGTGAGATCCACCAGAATGAAAGCATGTTTCTGTTCACCATGACGTTGGCAGCCCCCAGAATGGTGCCTGGCTCATAGCGGGACCTCAACCCAGACATGGTGACTGAACAAAATAATATGTGATGGAGTGACATGTGGCTGCAATTTCCATTTTCTGCAGAAAGGCTCCTGCTTCATTGGCCTTGGTCTGAGTGTCACAGGAGTTTGCTGTGTGATTCTTTTCTACCAGGGACAGTGAGTGAAAATGGAAGAAACATCTTCAGATGCTTACAAAGACGAGGACCTGCTCCACACATGGGCGGCTGTTTATCTGTAAGGCCTCTGCGTGCAGGTGCATTCACGTCCACCTTACCTCACTGCAGCGTTAAATGAGGCTGCTCCACGGGACACCACGCTCTCTGTGCCAGGACCCCGGGGAATTTCCTAAACTGGGATGGGCCTGCCCAGGCCCAGGACCCTGGAGATGGCTGCTTGATCTGTGGCCCTAGGTCAGGGAGCTTGTCCTGGTTCATGCCCAGGAGGGAGTTCCCGGGGTCCTTGCCACTGATGACCCCTGGAGTGATGTGGAGGGGATTTCTACAGGAGAGATCTATTCCCACAGCGACCAAGCACCATCTCAGCCACACCAGCCGCAGGTTCCACCCAGCAGCGAAACAAACCAGGTTCCCCCAGATCCCCCAGCAGAAGAAGGGATGCCCAGCCCTACCACCGTGTCCAGAGGCACCAGCCACAGGCACCTCCCAGGACATGCACGTCCCACTCCCCCCTCCCCCAGTCTCTTAAACTACAATACTGCATGGTTGACTGATGCCACTTCTCCCTCCATCCTGCATGGTTCCTTTGCACTCAGACTCTTACACCCACTGTGCACTCAACCTCTCCCCTCAGCTGTGTCACGGGCTTGTTCCACCCGAAGTGGCCAAACAGACCACCTGCTCTCCCCTGGAGAAACGCCTGTTCTCCCGCTCTCAGCTCAGTGAGTGGCAGATCTGTCCAGATTGACAGGTCACAACACTCGCATCATCCTGGACTCCTGTCCTCTCCTCACACACACACACACACACACACACACACGCCCCAAACATCAGAAACCCCTGCTGGCTCCCCTTGCAAAACATACCCCCCAGCCAGCACGCATCCCTGCCAGCTCCCACCTGGCCACACCACCTCTAGAGTGTCCCTGGAGGATGGCAACGGCCCCAACTGCATTTGCCTCCCAGTCTACGCTGGCACACCCCAGCCCAACCTGGTCTATTTGTCACGTAGTCCTGGGGTGGACCCATCTCTGCAGGAATAAAGCCAAAGTACTTCCAGAGGAAATGCAAGACTCATCAGCAGCCCTCCACCACCACCCACGCCTTTCCTTCCACTCTCCCGGGATTCCCTCCATGCCGGTCTCCCTGCCTCCTGGAGCTGCTCCCACACGGCAGGACAAGGCCAGCTCCAGGGGGCCTGGACACTTTCTCTCACCTCCGTGCAGAAGGCTCTTCCCAGACTGGCCCTGCCTTGCTCCCTCACCTCCTCCTCGCCTTCTCAGCAAAGCCTTCCCTCAGCACCCATTTAGAGCTGAAATCCTTCTTCTTCTGCCTCCCTTCCCTGCCTTGGTTCCCACAGCAGGCATATATGCAAGGCAGGCCCCAGGCTGCTCATGTGGGTGTCTGTTCTCTGCTTTCCCAACTAGAACCCGTGTTCCCCGGTGCCACGGGTGCTCGTGGTGGGATCCCTGGCTCCCGGAACAGGGTCTGGCACATCTGTTATGAGCTCAGTCAATATTTGTTGAATGCATAAAAATTTTGTTGGCCAAGTACCCTGGCTCACACCTGTAATTCCAAAACTTTGAAAGGCTGAGGCAGAAGGATAGCTCGAGGTAGGAGTTTGAGACCAGCCTGGGCAACATAAACGAGACCTCATCTCTATTCAAAAAACAGAGAAAATTAGCCAGGCTATTGTGGCACACATCTGTAGTCCCAGCTACTCAGGTGGCTGAGGTGGAAGGATCGTTTGAGCCTGAAAGTTCAAGCTGGCAGTGATCTATGTTCACGCCACTGCACTCCAGCCTGGGTGACAGAGCGAGCTTTGTCTCCAAAATAAAAATAAAATAAAACATTACCTGGGCGTGGTGGTGTGCACCTGTAGTTCCAGTTACTTGGAAGACTGAGGCAGATCACTTGAGCCTAGGAATTTGAGGCTGCAGTGAGCTACGATCACACCACTGCACTCCAGCCTGAATGATAGAGCTATGACATTGTGTGATTTGGAGGGGGTTTCTACAGGAGCAAATCTGTTCCCACAGCGACCAAGCACCCTCTCAGCCATATCAACCAGCAAAATACACCAGATGCCCCAGCAGAAGAACGGTCTCCCAGCCTTACCACCATGTTCAGAGGCACCAGCCACTTGTGCCTCTCAGGACACAGACGGCAAGATCCTGTCTCAGAAAAAAAAAATTGTATTATGAAACACAACAGAATTTATTCTTGCCTCTCACTGGCTTATCTTCCTGCTCTCTAATTTCAGACCTTTCCGTTGGGTGTTTAGTTAATGGCTTCACTTTTCTTCCTAGAAACCACAACATAGAAGAAGCCACTGCATCTCTGCAATATTCTCCCCGGCACGGGAGGACCCCGTCCCACATCAGCCCCCTCCTTCCTGCTCCTTCACCTTCGCACTCCCCACACATCTGTCCTTGTCTTCCTGCTGTGGACCATCCTCCACCCCAGGGACCTAGAGCCCAGTCTCCAACCCAGACAGAGGGAGGGGGACGGGAAAAGGGGAGTAGGACACCAAGGAAAGAGAGAGAGGTGGGTCAAAGGAAGAGAACGAGAAGAAAGAGTGAGGAGAAACATCACACCAGAAGACGGATGCCCCTCCAAACACCCACACGAAACAGTTACACCCTGATGGAGGCAGACAGCAGGAGGAAGAGCAAGTGCTGATGAACAAGATAAATGGGGACGTGAACCAGCAATGGGAGCAGGAGCTGCAGGGAAGAGAGAGGGGACGACAGGACAAGACCCTCACTCACCTGTGGGTGGGTCCCTGCAGGGGAACAAACTCAGCAGAGTCACCTGTGGAGGAGTTCCTAGCGTCAGAGCCATGCACTCATCCTCCTGTGTTTGCTCCCACTGGGTCGGGGGACAGGAGGAGCCGCAGCCCCAACCTCCTTCCTCAGCCCGCACCGACTACTCATCGGGTTGTGGAGCCCACGGCACCCTCAGCCTCCAGTGGCCCCTCAGGCTCAGAGAGCAAGGCTCACACAGACCACAGCCTCCTCTCAGAGGGAGAAACAGGCTCAGGGAAGGAGCTGGTGCTGGCAGGAGAGGTGGAGCCAGGAGCAGTGCCCTGAGCCCACCCAGGATTCCCACCTGCCTCCAGGACACCCTGGCTCTGGCCAGGTGGCAGAACCGCCTCCCACTGCCCACACAGGTACTGAACCCAGACACGGGGTGAAGAGGGGAAGCTGACTTCAGACCTCAGCTCCCAGGGGACCCCACAGACTCCAGCCCTGGAAGAGGTGCTCCCAAGATTACAATTAAAAAGACCCACAGAGGGACCTGGGGACAGGAACAGGAGCAGGGCCAGTGGGGACAGCGTGAGGAAACCCAGCTGGGGGAGGAGGAACGCAGGGCAGAGGAATACAGGAATGCGGAGGACATTCTTGGTGCCCTACATTGCCCCCCCACACACACATCAGCACTTCCCAGCGACCTCCAGGGCCCTCATGGGGTCTCCATGTCACAGCTGTCCCTTGGGCCCTCGCTGCACCCCACACCTGTCCTTCACCTGCCCCCATTAAGTCAGCCTACATCACCCGTGACATGCAAAGCACTGGGTGGGGGGCTCTGGACACAGTCCTTGCTCAAGGGGTCTACAGCCTCGTGGGAGGGAAAGAACAGCCCCACCTTCACGAGAGTCGGGTGGAGCCTGGGGGCCTGGTTGGGATCCTCATAAACCTGACAGGCGTTTCTGCAGGGTCAGTGTCTTCGTGGGCTGCTGGGGATGGGGCTGAAGTCCACGGTTCTGATGCTGCCACTGCCTTTTACTCTCAAGAGCATTTCACATCGGAGGATGCATTTTATGGTCACTCTGTGGCTATTTATGTCCCATGGAAGCAGGCCATTTTCTCAGGGGCCAATGTGCTTGAAATCCCCTTGCCACATGGCTCAGACACCAGAGGCGTTTGTTCCTTCTGAATCTCGACTTCCTTGTGTGTCTTTGCTACCACACTTTTGGTGTGTGCCCTCTTCCTGATCCAGCTTCCAGCTATGGCAGGAGTCTGAGGAACATGCAGGCGAGGAGGCCATGAGGGAGACACAGGAAGACCGGGGCAGAGAGAGGTAGACTAGGGAGGAAGGGAATGGCCACCTCGCAGCTGGAGTGGGGCAGGCTGGCTTTTGAGGACTGGACCTGCAGCGTCTCCCACTCCTCTCCCACACCGGCCTTCTCCTCTATCCTCCTATGCACCCAACGCTTTCCACACTCACACTTTTTCTCCAGCCACTTCTCCCCACCGGCACTTCCTCTGTCTTCTTCCTCTGTTACTCTTCAGCCTTATCTAATTCCCCAAGACCGAGCTCAAGCCCACCTCCATTCAGATTCCTCCGGAACTCAATCCACCATGACCTCCGCCGGCCATGGCTTCCTGTCTACACTCTGGCAGCGTATGTCCATGGCCTGCTGACAGCTCTTGTATTGCCTTTTATCGTATTATTCAGGGGGAACTTTTGATCATGTGCAAACAAGGAAACACTTTTATTTTTGTACAGCCACTGCTTTTAAATAAGACATCACAATTCATTCTCCACATCTTCATGACATCTCATGCAGATCAAGAGTTTTCTGGTGACTTTGGGTGGTAAGACGAAGGCTCATTTATATATTCTAAAATCCAGTCCATTGAAAATCAAAATTTGAATCTCACATTCAATTCAGTGTTGGTCCCCTTGACACAGCCTAAATCAAGACTAACTTGGGGCTTGGAGTCCCACAGTAGAGAAGGGAGAAGAGTCTGCTAACAGCAATCATATTATGTGTCCTTTCAGATTTTAAGGGAGGTGGGGATACTCTTTGAAATGTCCGTTTTTCTCAAATAAGTTACTAGGATGTCTGAACTGATTTATTTGGAGAACTGCCCTGCATAAATAGAAGCACTGTCTTTTACATGAGTATCTTAATTTAAAAATGTTTAATCTGGCACGGTGGTGCGTGTCTGTGGTCCCAGCTACTCTGGAGGCTGAGGTGGGAGGATCATTTAAGCCCATGAGGTCAGGGCTGCAGTGAGCTGAGATCACACCCCTGCACTTCAGCCTGGGCAACAGAGCCAGACCCTGTCTCAAAAAAAAAAATTATTGTCTAGGACATTCAAATTTTCAACCTCCCCTAATTTTTGTACTAAAATGAAAGCAGCAGCTGTCACATAAATGTCCAGGAAATGTCATTATTGATGTTTCTCTGTTAAGAATTCTTCTTAAATGCTCATCCTATTATTATGTTTTATTCTTGATATTTTAGAGAAACTTACTGATGTATTTACTGAGGAAACTATGTGATTTCTGAAACTTATTTGTAGATAATCCAGTTGTGAAGGGGAGAGGGAGAGGTGGGTGGGGAGTAGACGGAACGGTGTTGACCCTGAGCTGCCAATTGCCAGCACCGGGTGGTGAGTGCAGAGAAGTTCATTATACGATGCTTCCAGGTTTTAGGTGTGTCTAAAATGCTCTATAACAAGAACCTGGAAGGTCACTCCACACTGGTTGAGTAAACTGTAATGTATCCACATAACAGAGTGCCGTACGACTGTAAAAAGAACATCAAGTGTTTCTTCTTCTACACTGGAGGGATCTTCAGGAGGTAAGGAGGGAAAAAGCATGGTGCAGAACAGAACACAGCCTGCTGCTTCTGCCGTGAGAAAGGAGGAAATCTATGGACAAGGTTGTTTTTTACATTTTCAAAATCAACTATAAAAGGATAATTGCAAACTAATAAATACGGTTCCACATAGCAGGAGGGAAGAAATGTGTGTACGAGACAGAGACAGAAACTAGGTTTTTTTTTTCTTTTAAGAGACAGGGTCTTGCTCTGTGGCCCAGGCTGGAGTGCAGCAGTGCCAACATGGCTCACTGCAGCCTCCAACTCCTGAGGCAAGGGCACTCTCCTGAGCTCCAGAGATCCTCCTGCCTCAGCCCCTGAGCAGCTAGGACCCCAGGAGCATGCCACCACACCCGGGTGATTCTTTAATTTTTTGTAGAGATGAGTCTTGCTATGTTGCCCAGGCTGGTCTCAAACTTCTGGCTTCAAGCAGTCACCCTCCTCAGCCTCCCAAAGTGCTGGGATTACAGGCAAGAGCCGCCACTCCTCGCTAAAACTACACATCTGTAAGTGTGCTTTATTTTATAATTGGACTTCAGTACATGTTTCATACAATTAAAAATCAAAATTATATCAAAAAGTAAAAAAATTTCAGCCACTGTGGACTAGTTTGTATAAGAACAACTTTCATGATAAGAACAATTGGAGAAATTGGATAAAATCTAAAAATGAAATATTTTATAAGTGATTATAAAGATGCGGAAACAGCCACGACTCAAGGGTCTGAGACCCGGGGATGTGTTCTCGGCTGAGCTGGACATTGGGTGGTGCTTTTCCTCTCCAGGCATTTGCTGACTCATCCCTGGCACAGGGCCCAGAGGCTGGGAAGCTGAGCGAAGCCTCTTGTCATCTCACAGATCTGGGAGGGAAGAAATTGGGTTTAGAGACCTCAAAAACACCCTGACCTCCAGCTAGGACCCCAGGAACACTACACACTAAGAGTAATTATTAATCAGAAATAGAGAATTCTCACAAAGACTGAACCCAGCTTCACGCGGATCAGCCACAGGTTCACACGCATCAGCCACAGACTGGCTTAAGGAAACCAGCTGCTCATCTAGCTGCCCCACATAAGGAACGGTAAATCTTCTCTAGAAGAAAAGGATATTACCCACAGCTTCAGATTATTCGCATCATTTGTCTGCCATTCAAGAAAAAATTACCAGGCATTCTAGGGACAGGATAAAATGACCAAATTCAAAAAGACAAAAAAGAAACAAACTTAAAGGAGATCCAGACTGGCGTTGCCATTCATGAGCTTTAAATTAACTGTTATCACGATGCTCGAGAGAAAAAAACCAAGACGGATAATTTCACCAGACACCTGTAACCTTTGAAAAGAATAAAACGAAACTCTAGAACTGAAAGTATCAAAAACTAAATAAACAACTCAATAGATAGATTTGGCAATAGTTTAGACACAGATAGTTAGTGAACTGAGTAAGAGGTCAACAGACAAAACCAAGGCTGAAACACAGAGAGAAGAGAATACAAACCATGGAAGGGAGGGTGAGAAACACACGGGCATAGCAAGGTCTCACTTCAGTGCTGCTGGAGTCCCAAAAGTAGAGGGGCAGGAAAGAACAGGATGGAAACAATATTTTTAAAAGATATAGATGGAAGCCGAGGGGTGGTAAAAGCCAGGTCTCATGGCTGATGCCTGTAATCTCAGCACTTTGGGAGGCCAAGGCATGAGGATCACTTGAGGCCAGGAGTTGGAGACCAGCCTGGGCAAAATAGAGAGACCCCATCTCTACAAAAAATTTAAAAATTAGCCAGGTGCAGTGGTGGGCACCTGTGGACCCAGCTGCTTGGGAGACTGAGGCAGGAGGATCACTTAAGCACAGGAGGCTGAGGCTGCAGTGAGCCAAGATTGTGTCACTGCACTCCAGCCTGGGCAAAAGAGTGAGACCCTGTCTCAATTAAAAAAAAAAAGAAAGAAAAGAAAGAAAAAAATATGGGTGGAGCAATTTTTTAAAGTGATGAAAGAGATCAAGTCACAGATTAAGAAACTCTGTTAACTAATAGCAAGAAGAATACAAAGAAGTCCAAGCTAGGCTCACCACAGCATTACAGCTGAGAAGCAAAACAAACAGAAAAGTGTTAGCAGTATCCAGAAGAAAAAACAAAGTACATTAAAAAGTGCAACAAGAAGACTAACAGCAGGCTTTTCAACACACACACACACACACACACACTGCAACAAGAAGACTAACAGCAGGCTTTTCAACACACACACACACACACACACACACACAACAGTGATGAAAGCTAACATGGCACCCTTAACGTCTTGGAATAAAATTACTGCCCACATAGAATTATAGTTCCAACAGAAATATTATTTTAAGATGAAGGCAAATAAAGATGAATTCATGCAAACAAAAACTTTTAGAGTATTTTCTGTCAGAAGATTTGCACCAAAACAAAACAAAACCACAAAAATGAAAAAAGGAACCAAAACAAAGAGCAAAATACAAAACCCTAAAAGGAATTCTACAAGCAGAAGCAGAAGGAAAATGATCCCAGAGGATGGACATGCAAAGAGGGGTCTGGAGAACAACAGAAAGGGTAAATGTGTGAGTGAATCCATCTGCATATTGACAATATCAAATCAGGTTAGTGAGGCTGCGTGGGGTTTGAGATATGTGTAGAATCTAACTGCATAAAAACAACGACAAAGAAGGCGGAGTGGTGGGGAACTAACGCGTTCTAAGGTCCTCGTGAAAGCCAGGAAGTAGCAAAAATACATCTTTATATGAGGCACCAGTAAGTGAGGTATGTGGCTTGTAATTTCCAGGTCGCCACTTAAAGAATAAAGAAAATAACTAAGTTATTAGAGAAAGAAGAAATAAATGGCAAATACCACTTTTTTTCTTTGAGACAGAGTCTCGCTCTGTCACCCAGGCTGGAGTGAGTGCAGTGGTACAATCTCAGCTCACTGCAACCTCCGCCTCCTGGACTCAAGTGATTCTCCTGCCTCAGCTTCCTGAGTAGCTGGGATTATAGGCCTGCATCACCGCCCAGCTAATTTTTGTATTTTAAGTAGAGAGGGGGTTTCACCATGTTAGCCAAGCTGGTCTCAAACTCCTAGAGTCAAGTCATCCTCCTGCTTCGACCTTCCAAAGTGCTGAGATGACAGGCATGAGCCACCGCACCTGACCAAATATCACTTTCTTAGTTCCTCTCCTAAGTGCCCCCAAAAAAGGCAGGGAGAGAAAGATAAGCAAAGTAGGACAAGTAAAAATCAAATAGTAAGATTATGGATTTAAACCTAAATATATCAGATATTGGTATGAGCTTAATTATATCCCTCAAAATTTATATATTGAAGCCCTAATCCTCAGTACCTCCAAATGTGACTATATTTGGTGATGGGTGTAATGGAGGTGATTAAATTAAAATGAGGCTCTTAGGGTGGGCCCTAATCCAAATTGACTTGTTTCCTTCTGAGAAAATAAATTTCTATTGTTTAAGCCACTTCGTCTGTGGTACTATGATAAGTTAGCCCTGGCAAACTGATCCAGACATTACATGTACATTAAATGTAAATGGACTAAATACATCAAATAAGAGATGGGCCAGGCACAGTGGCTCATGCCTGTAATCAGGCGTGACTCCATCTCAAAAAAAAAAAGAGATGAAGATATCAGGCTCAATTTTTTAAAAAATATTAATATTTGCTCTTAAAATTTAGGATATTAACAGGTATAAAACAAAAGGAGGGACAAATACATACCCAGCCAACAATAACAACAAATGTGATGAAGTCAATGCTAAATTCAGGCAAAGCAGACGTAAAAGCATTAAGCTAAACTGGAAGAAAAGGTATTTCACAAAAGGATCAACCCTCCAAGAAGATACAGCAACAATATGTATATACACATGTACATATATAACCTCAAATATACAAAGGGAAATTTGACGGAACTAAAAGTGGAAATAGGCCAGACACGGGGGCTCACGCCTATAATCCCAGCACTTTGGAAGGTTGAGGTGTGCAGATCACAAGGTCAGGAGATCGAGACCATCCTGGCTAACACAGTGAAACCCTGTCTGTACTAAAAATACAAAAAATTAGCCGGTGTGGTGGGGGGCGCCTGTAGTCCCAGCTACTCGGGAGGCTGAGGCAAGAGAATGGCGTGAACCCGGGAGACGGAGCTTGCAGTGAGCTGAGATCGCGCCACTGCACTCCAGCCTGGGCGACACAGCGAGACTCCGTCTCAAAAAAAAAAAAAAAAGTGGAAATAGACAAGTTCACAAAAATAATGTGAGATTTTAGCACAATTGTCTTAGTTATTTTAGAACAAGGTAACTAAAATATCAGTAAGGATATAGAAAATTTGAAGAATTTGAGTAGCAAATTGATCTGTGGACATCTATAGAAAATTGCACCCAACTACTACAAAACACACATTTTCTCCGAGTGCACACAGAACAGGTGCCAAAACTGATCACACACTGGGCCATAAATCAAGTCCCAAATTATTTTAGAGCACTTAAATCTGATCAGGTTCTGATTAAGCTAGGAGTTAATTAATGAAGAGAATAATTAGAAAACACATACACCCAGAAATGAGGTAATAATCTTCTAGATAACCCAGGAGTTAAATAAGAAACCACAATGAAAATTTTAACATATTTTGAAAAAGAGAGAAAACAAAGATGCGACAGGTCAGAAGGAGTGCCATACAGCTGAGACTTGTAGAACCTGGACTTCCTGAGGGAGGTGTCAGGCGGTGTGCATCCCACACACTCTCAGGCCTGTGGAGGGGCCTGGGAATTACGAGGGGTCACAGGAACCGCTCCTCGACGCTTGCTTAGGGAGACCTGAGTGTGAGAGGGTGGCTGGAGCTGTCTGGATGGTGGAGTGAAAGGGGAGCCCACGGAGGGACGTGGGCGGTGCTTCCTGAGAGCTAAGTGGCTACCCCAGATGCTGGCTGGGCTTAAGCCATCTTGAAAGAGAGCTTGAACCTACCGTGTACTCCAGCCACAGAAATAAGAGTCCAGAAAAAAAAATAGCACATAATGAAGCTGGCTTTTAAATATGATACATAGCGGGGTAGAGTTTCTTGGTAAATGATACAGGCATATTTGATCAAATCTTTCGGGCTGGTGGTCTGAGAGTCCAGGCTGGCCAGCCCAGCAGGGCCATTGAAAAGCTGAGGGCCGTCCACCTTGTGGGGATGGTGCGTGGCAGATGGGGGCCCGGGAGAGCTCACACACAGAGTCTTTGGAAGGAAGACCAACATTTGGCTGGGCAACTCCAAAGACCCAAGGGGGTCAGCCCCATGAGACTCTTCATTTCCCTCTGCTCACTCTCCTCCCTGCTGTGCCCAGCCCTGAGGTAGCAAATCCTGAAGTAGCAGCTGGGAACCAGCAGAGGGTGAGACTCAGGGCTGGCCCGTCTCCTTCCCCTAGGCCGGTCTGTGACCTGTGCACATCTCCTGTCTTGCTGTGGGTCTGTCTCTGAGATAACACTCGCTGCTGCTGCTCTCAGCCCCACTGGATGTTGATCCTAATGAGTCACCCTTGGGGATGCTCTTGATGTACAGTTCTCCCGAGGCTCCCTCACCAGCCTCTTCCTGGCACATGAATGACCCCATTTTATTTTATTTTGTTTTTTTTTTTAAGTAAACGCTCCTCAAGTAGAATGTTTTGTTTTCTTCATAGCACTTGTCAGTATCTGAAATTGTTAACAATTAGCTCTCCAGTCAGACTACCTGGATGTGGACTGCAGCTCCACCACTGGCAGCTGTGTGGCCGAGCAAACTGCTTTATCTCACCTGCCTTTCTGTGCCTCTGGCCCAGAAAGTGGGGTCTGTTGAGTGGGGATAGTAGCATATAGATAGTAGTCTGTTAATAGTAGCATATAGTTACTATACAGATAGTAGTCTGTTAAGTGGGGATAGTAGCATATAGATAGTAGTCTGTTCATAGCAGTATATAGTCACTACATAGACAGTAGTCTGTTAAGTGGGGATAGTAGTATATAGATAGTAGTCTGTTAATAGTAGCATATAGTCACTATATAGATAGTAGTCTGTTAATAGTAGCATATAGTTACTATATAGATAGTAGTCTGTTAAGTGGGGATAGTAGTATATAGATAGTAGTCTGTTAAGTGGGGATAGTAGTATATAGATAGTAGTCTGTTCATAGCAGTAGATAGTTACTATATAGATAGTAGCCTGTTAATAGCAGTATATAGTTACTCTATAGATAGTAGTCTGTTAAGTGGGGATAGTAGTATATAGATAGTAGTCTGTTCATAGCAGTATATAGTTACTCTATAGATAGTAGTCTGTTCATAGTAGTATATAGTTACTCTATAGATAGTAGTCTGTTCATAGTAGTATATAGTTACTCTATAGATAGCAGTCTGTTAAGTGGGGATAGTAGTATATAGATAGTAGTCTGTTCATAGTAGCATATAGTCACTATATAGATAGTAGTCTGTTAAGTGGGGATAGTAGCATATAGATAGTAGTCTGTTCATAGTAGTATATAGTTACTCTATAGATAGTAGTCTGTTAAGTGGGGATAGTAGTATATAGATAGTAGTCTGTTCATAGTAGCATATAGTCACTATATAGATAGTAGTCTGTTCATAGTAGTATATAGTTACTATATAGATAGTAGTCTGTTAAGTGGGGATAGTAGTATATACACAGTAGTCTGTTAATAGTAGCATATAGTCACTATATAGATAGTAGTCTGTTAAGTGGGGATAGTAGTATATAGATAGTAGTCTGTTCATAGCAGTATATAGTTACTCTATAGATAGTAGTCTGTTCATAGCAGTATATAGTTACTATATAGATAGTAGTCTGTTCATAGTAGCATATAGTTACTCTATAGATAGTAGTCTGTTAAGTGGGGATAGTAGTATATAGATAGTAGTCTGTTCATAGTAGCATATAGTCACTATATAGATAGTAGTCTGTTAAGTGGGGTAGTCTGTTAAGTGGTCTGTTAAGTGGGGATTGTAATGGCCCTGTCATGGCTGGGGGAGTGAGTGAGAAGACCACGCAGCTCTCTTATCACGGTGTCTGGCATGGTGCCGAAAGAGTCCTTGGCGATGGTCACTATTATTTCTAACTAGTTTGGCTTCAAGCTGGTTGCTTTTTGACTCTCTTTTCTTTCTTTTTTTCTTTTATTTTGTTTAATCAGGCAATACTTTGTTCTATAAAATAGAATATGTGTTCCTAGATTCTTTTTTCTATTTTGTCTACTGCCTATCTTTGTGGCAATACCAACTCTCTTAAATGCTGTGTTTTAAAAATAAATCTTACTATCTGGTAACTTCTATTTTCTTTAAGATCATCTTGACTCTACCTGGCTATTTACATGTTTATACAGTTTTCAGAATAAGCAATTTCTACAAAAGTTCTGCAGGGATTTTGATTGCAGCTGCGTTGGACCTACAGACCGTTTTGGTGAGAACGGACATTCTTACAACGTGGAGTGTCGAAACCCATGAATATGATCTATCCCTCCATTGAGCTTCTGTGATTTCCCTCAGCAATGTTTTGTGGCATGGGCTCTTTGCACATCTTTATTAGTCTTATTCTAGATGCATAAGCAACTTTAAACATTTATTAAGGAAAATCTCAAGTGTACACAAAAGTATAGGCAGTGGAAAATAGAAGTTGTTTTCCATCCCTAGCTTACTATAAGCTTGATTGTGAATGGGTGTTGAATGTCACTAAATGGCAGTTCTGCATCCTTTGAGAAGATCATGTTTTCCCCTTTTCTACTGCTCATATTTTGATTTACTGTGTTAATCATGCTTTTTTGTTTTCTGCATTTGGTGCCTGGACACACTGGGGCCTTACTGATCCTGGAAGGACCGCCCCTCCCAGGCTGGCTCATTCTCAGACACAGTCACAGATGCTCTCGAGCTCACCTTTCCTCTGCAGACCAACCAACCCAGAGCCCAGGCCCCAGCTGCCTCCTTACTGGGCTCTCATATTCTGGACCCTGTGCACCTGCCCTACTCACCCCAGGGCAGGTACCAACAGCGAGGAACTGCCCCTATGTCCCAGAGCCCACAGAAATTACTCAGACTGGCAGGTCCTAACCCTTCTTGCCCTGCCTTGCCCATTCCTCCCCACAGAAACCACAACACAGGCTCAGCCCATGTTTCCCAGCTCCCTCTGCCTCCTAAAGGACCCTGCTACATCCCCATGTGGCCATGCCTGGGGTGCCTTACTCCTGTTTCTGGGGAATCTGTGAGTGTGCAAACGTCTTCCCCCACGACAGGCACTTATGTGTCTGTGCGTCTAACCACACCTGATTCACACAAATCCTGGCTGTGCTTACAACATTTACACGGATTGGTTTTTTCATGTTAAACCACCATAACATTCATGGAATTAATACAACTTTTGTTGTGTAATATTCTTTTTATATATCACTGTCGTCGATTAGCTAATATTTTGCTGCTTAAGATTTTTGTATCTATATTCATGAGAGAAAATGGCCTGTAACTTTCCCTTCTTGTAACATCCTTGCCATGTGTTGGCTAGAAAGTTATGCTGTCCTCACAGAATGAGCGGGAAGAGTCGTGGGAAGAGTCTCCACTCCCTTTTTAAAACATCCCTGGAAGACTGTTATTGTTTCCTCCCTAAATTTATGGTAGAATGTATCACTGAAGCCATTTGGTCTTGGACTTTCTTTTGGGAGGATATTTTAAAATTATTCGTACCAAACTGAACTGGGGTCTGTGTACACTAAGGTCAACATCCACATCTAATGATGAGAACATCAGGAATCTACTTTCTTAGCAATTTCAAAGCATACAATACATATTATTAACTATAGTCACCGTGCTGTGAGATAGATCTCAAAAATGTATCCCTCCTAACTGAAACTGTGTATACTCTTTCACCAAAATCTCCCCAGGCCCCCGAGCCCCAGCCTGTGATCCGCCTTTGTATGCTCTGCCTTCATGAGTGTGTTTTAGATTCTAGATACGAGTGAGATGTGCGGAATTTATCC
Source organism: Homo sapiens (assembly GCF_000001405.40). NCBI lineage: Eukaryota > Metazoa > Chordata > Mammalia > Primates > Hominidae > Homo > Homo sapiens. The sequence continues at coordinate 181,142,019 of NC_000005.10, forward strand.
TTCTGGGCCTGGCTTATTTCACTGAGTGTAGAGTCCTCCAGGCTCATCTGTGTTGTCATGGAGGAGCTCACAGCAGAGGAGGGGCTGTGGATGGAGTCTTTGGAAGGTCGGAAGAGTAAAGGGGAGCTTTAGATGTTTCTCTGTAGATTGGTTAAGTTTCAGTAGGAGGAGACAGAGAGGCAAAGTAAGTTCCCGGGGGAGAACAGCTTGATCGAAAGTGTGGAGGGGAAACACCAGGCCCCTGCACAGACCAAGGGCAGAGCAGCTGGCTGTGGAGGGATGGCCCAGAGGGAGGCTCGGACAGAGGGAGGCTGGCATTGTAGGGAGATTCTGTAAAGCCCGCTTTGCTGTCCCTGGAACCAGCATGACCAAGGCCTGTTTTCCTAGGTCCTCAGCGTCCACTCCCTACACTGGCCCCTCTCCCCACAATCCGTCTCCCCTCAGCCCTCTGATCTGACTGAGGTTCTCTGTGGTTTTGTCTCCAGCTGAAGCCCCCAGTAGCTTTGAATGGCAGGTGAAACACGCTTTATTGCTGTTGTGAAAATAAAAGGAAACCAGTAAAATAAAACCAAACAGTTAAAAGGAACTGATGAGTTGGTGATTCCGCCATTGAGTTTCCAATGAATTTGCCATTTTGAAAAGAGATCTATTTCCAGGAGACATAAAGCCAAGCACAGAGTGACCTTTACGGTCACTCTTGAGAGTGAAAGGCAGTGCAGCCTGTGCCTGCACGGGTGGCAGCATCGGAACCGTGCACCTCAGCCCTCTCCCCAGCAACCCACGAAGGCACTGGCCCTGCAGAAATGCCTGTCAGGGTTTGTGATGACCGAGGCCCACATGCCTCCACCCGACTCCTCTGGATGTGGTGCTGTTCTTTCCCTCCCATGAGGTATGAGATGGAGACCCCATGAGGGCGCTGGGGCTCACTGGGAAGTGCTGAATGTGGGGATCCTGTAGAACACCAAGAATATCCTCTGCATTCCTGTGTGAAAGGAAAATAAATCCTGGGGCCCTAAGATCACTAAGCTAAACGGAAAAGTCAAGCTAGGAACTGCTTAGGGCAAACCTGCCTCCCATTCTATTCAAAGTCAGCCCTCTGATGCATCTTCTGAGTGCCTCCTTTGGAGAGGCTCATCAGGAACTCAAAAAAATGCAACCATTTTTCTCTTATTTACCCATGAGCTGGAAGCCCCCTCCCCACTTCGAGTTGTCCTGCCTTTGCTTTGAGTTGCCCTGCCTCTCCAGACCAAGCCAATGTTCATTTTTTACATATGCTGATTGACGTCTCATGTCTTCTAAAATGCATAAAATCAAACTGTGCCCTGACCACCTTGGCCACTTCTCAGGACCTCCTGAGGCTGTATCACGGGTGCACGTCCTGAATCTTGGCAAAATAAACTTTCTAAATTAACCAAGATTGTCTCAGATATTTGGGGTTCACGTTTTGGTAACCACAGGGGGATTCTGAGTGGAGATGCCCCTGACCTTTGACAGATCTCCTATCGGTGCTTGGGACCAGCATGAGCCAACTTTATGGCTCAAACCAATAGGACAACTTGCTGAGGTCTGAGAGTACCTCCTCCAGAGAATCCCTGATCTCCCAAAATCTAAAGTTTTTTTCCTGATCTAAAGGTCAAGATCTAAAGTTTATTTTCCTGAACAACTCCCCTTTTTTGGAATTTCACTTGCTTCCAACAAGGAAGGCAAGATCTCCTGCTTCCCTGAAGATGGAAGGCACGTAACTCCTTTATGGAGTTTGAGCTCACTCCCAGAAGGGAAGATGAGTTCCAGTTGTTTTTCCTGCTTCTAGGATGGTAGAAAGCAGTCTACAGCCTCAGACCCATCCCTAGGTAAGTAGCTGAATAGTTTTGTCTTGGCTAATGTTTAATGACCAGCTGGTCTGAATTTCTTCTTCCCATTACAGCACTGAGTGATCTTATTGTTGGGATTTGTTGTTGTTGTTGTTTGTTCTGGTCTTTCTCCCATCAGATTTGACCAACTCTACCTGACTTCATCAAATCCGAGTGAGAATTCCAAATTATGGTTGGTAACAAAGCCTCTCTAATTAGGCTAAAACTCCTTGCAGCTGCAAAAGAGGAAAAAGCAAAGCAAAAACAAAACAAAACAAAACAAAACACAAATGAGCTTGGTTTCTGTGTTTGCTTTCCGTCTTAAAAAAATAAATGTTCTTGGCTGGGTGCAGTGGCTCACGCCTGTAATCCCAGCACTTTGGGAGGCTGAGGTGGGCGGATCACAAGGTCAGGAGTTCGAGACCAGCTTGACCAACATGATGAAACTACGTCTCTACTAAAAGTACAAAAATTGGCCAGGCGTGGTGATGCGCACCTGTAATCCCAGCTACTCAGGAGGCTGAGGCAGGAGAATCACTTGAACCAGGGAGGCGGAGGTTGCAGTGAGCTGAGATCGTGCTACTGCACTCCAGCCTGGGTGACAGAGTGAGACTCCATCTCAAAAAAAATAAAAAATAAAAAATAGAAATAAACAGAAATAAAATAAATGTTCTTTAATTTACTTTTCTTCACCCTATACCTCCTACCCCCTTTGCCTTCTGCAGTACCAAAAAATCTAAAGAAGGCTTCTCATGACTTGAACCCCTTTAAAGGATGCAGAGCAAAGGCACCGCTCACCCCTTTTGGGGTGTTCTGTTTACTTTGTGGAGTTTCAAGAGCCTCTCCTGGGAAGTTGTTGCTTAAGGATCCTATTTTAAATGACCTGTGATATCAAGTGTTTTAAACCTTTGATAGTTGACAAACTTTTCTAAATTAAATTATTAATTATGTATATTTGTGACCTAAGTAATCCTCTAATGTATTAGGTTCCCTAAGTCCAAAGATGACATTATTTGGCTTATTTGGTATAAAAATTATACAAGAAGCATTATCAAATATGAAATGGTGTTTGGTTTTCTTTGGGCTGTATTTGTATAAATATGTTATTAGTATGTGTTCCAAAATTATGGGAAACTCCTATAATTATGATATGACTTGGTGTGCATTATCAGTAATAGTTACAATTGTTATGTTAACGTGCCACAGAGGTAATAAATTTCCATGTCGATTGTGTCTTTGACTATGACTGCTCTGAAACTTTTTGTCATCCACAGACAACTCTTGTCTTGTTTTGATCCTCTCTAGAAGGTGGTTTTATAATCAGCTATAAAACTCTAACAGGTGCTCTTAAATGCAGGTGTCTGATAACTTTGGGAGTGTGACATCAGAATAGAGGGAAAACTTTCAGGACTCATGGAGGGCTGAGATGAATATCAAGCAGAACCAGAATTAACTGCATGGACTGAACTAATAAGAGACTGAAGTAATCTTTCTGACTTTTTGCTTAAAACGTTGCTGATCCTTTGTTTGGTTTTTTTCAGAATCAAGGAAACTTTTCTTTTGAGCTGTTGGCAGCTTTTAACAAGTTAGTATACTCCTATAAATAAAATTTGGAGCATGTTTGTTTCTCTCTACCTGAATTCTCCAGAATTTGGAAACTATTTGTGAGTATTATTAACTTATGTCAATACAGTTATTTGCATACATGTAGTAAGATCCTGTTTTCATTTGTAACAGGATGCAATTGAAGAAACTGGTTATTTTCCCAAAGGTTTGACTGGAATGGTGTGTTTTCCTTTAAGGAATCAAACTTGACTTATAGAGCCAATAAAAGCCTTCTGGGAAAACCGCCCTCATACCTTGTCTACACAGTCCCTGTACAGGGTTCCTGATCTGTGGTAAGTAAAGAATGTCACTTTCTGACATTCCCAGGAGCCCCAAGTTTTATCTTGGGACCTCAAGAGGAGAGGAATTCACCCAACTCATAGGTATTTGATGATACAAATCTATGACTGGGCTTGGCTTTAAAAAGTCTTATCTGAGATTCCTTCTATGGAACAAAGTTCCATCAAAGTCAATTTATAAACCTATGTAAAACATAATTATTCAGGCCAAGCACAGTGAGTCAAGCCTATAATTCCAGCACTTTGGGAGGCCAAGGTGGATGATCACTTCAGGTCAGGAGTTTGAGACCAGCCTGGCCAACATGGTGAAATCTCGTCTCTACTAAAAATACAAAAATTAGCCAGGTATGTGGCACACACCTGTAATCCCAGCTACTCAGGAGGCTGAAGCAGGAGAATCGCTTGAACCCGGGAGGCGGAGGTTGCAGTGAGCCAAAAGCATGCCACTTCACTCCAGCCTGGGCAACAGAGTGAGACTCTGTCTCAAAAGTAATAATAAAATTATTATTATTATTATTATTATTATTATTATTATTATTGCTATGCTGTATACAAATAATCCGGCCAAGTATATTAAAGCAAATCAATCCTGCCACGATTTGTCTTTAGTAAAAATGGGAAACTGGGGAGAAAACAAATTACGTTTCAAAAACTATAGTACACTCGTTAGCTTCCAGTCATGTCTAATGTTTTTCAATTTTTATTATTCTCTACAGTTTGGAATGAATTTTAATTTTTCTTGGCTACAAGTTTTCAAAATAATGTTTTCTATTTTTTTTTCTTTTTTGTCTCATTTTTCCTAATTTGGAGTCACTGAAAACTAAGCTGTGCCTTCATAAAGCCCTGCAAACTGAAGCCAGACAACGTAAACTTCAGAAGAAAATAACAGCAACTTATTTACATACATAAACCACTCTCATACCTGCCTACTGATGTATGGACTTCAGGGTAATGTGGCCTATATTAATTTTCCAGGGCTATTCTTTCATTTCTTGTTGTTTTCCCCCCTTCCTCCCCCTATTTTCTCTTCATAGAACATGAGACTTCACAACCTGCTCAAAATGAGCTTTCCTAATAACTCAGGACCTACCTATCTAAGAATAAACCATCCCAGCCATGAGAGATAAGACAAAACCTGAGACCAGAGACTCGTTTTCTTCTAAAATGCTTTCTCCTGGGGCCCTAAAATCACAAAGCTAAAGGGAAAAGTCAAGCTGAGAACTGCTTAGGGCAAACCAGCCTCCCATTCTATTCAAAGTCGCCCCTCTGCTCACTGAGATAAATGCATATATGGTTGCCTCCTTTGGAGAGGCTCATCAGAATCTCAAAAGCATGCAGCCATTTGTCTCTTATCTACCTGTGACCTGGAAGCTGCGTCCTCACTTAGAGTCGTCCAGCCTTTCCAGACCAAACAGATGTTCATCTTACAAATGTTGATTGAGGGCTCATGTCCCCCTAAAATGCATAAAACCAGACTGTGTTCTGACCACCTTGGGCACATGTTGTCAGGACCTCCTGAGGCTGTGTCATGGGTGCATGTCTTCAATCTTCGCAAAATAAACTTTCTAAATTAACTGAGACCTGTCTCAGATATTCAGGTTTCAGGCATGTATTCCTGTGCCCTGCATCCTTCCTCCCCCAGCTGGGTTTCCTCACGCTGTCCCCACTGGCCCTGCTCCTGTTCCTGTCCCCAGGTCCCTCTGTGGGTCTTTTTAATTGTAATCTTGGGAGCACCTCTTCCAGGGCTGGAGTCTGTGGGGTCCCCTGGGAGCTGAGGTCTGAAGTCAGCTTCCCCTCCTCACCCCGTGTCTGGGTTCAGTACCTATGTGGGCAGTGGGAGGCGGTTCTGGAACCTGGCCAGAGCCAGGGTGTCCTGGAGGCAGGTGGGAATCCTGGGTGGGCTCAGGGCACTGCTCCTGGCTCCACCTCTCCTGCCAGCACCAGCTCCTTCCCTGAGCCTGTTTCTCCCTCTGAGAGGAGGCTGTGGTCTGTGTGAGCCTCGCTCTCTGAGCCTGAGGGGCCACTGGAGGCTGAGGGTGCCGTGGGCTCCACAGCCCGATGAGTAGTCGGTGCGGGCTGAGGAAGGAGGTTGGGGCTGCGGCTCCTCCTGTCCCCTGACCCAGTGGGAGCAAAAACAGGAGGATGAGTGCATGGCTCTGATGCTAGGAACTCCTCCACAGGTGACTCTGCTGAGTTTGTTCCCCTGCAGGGACCCACCCACAGGTGAGTGAGGGTCTTGTCCTGTCGTCCCCTCTCTCTTCCCTGCAGCTCCTGCTCCCGTTGCTGGTTCACGTCCCCATTTGTCTTGTTCATCAGCACTTGTTCTTCCTCCTACTGTCTGCCTCCATCAGGGTGTAATTGTTTGGATTTTTGGGGGGGCATCCGCCTTCTGGTGTGATGTCTCTCCTCACTCTTCTCGTCTTGTTCCTTTGACCCACTTCCCTCTCTCGATCCTTGGTGTCTTACTCCCCTTTTCCTGTCCCCCTCCCTCTGTCTGGGTTGGAGACTGGGCTCTAGGTCCCTGGGGTGGAGAGTGGTCCACCGCAGGAAGACAAGGATGGATGTGTGGGGAGTGCGAAGGTGAAGGGATAGGAAGGAGGGGGCTGATGTGGGACGGGGTCCTCTCATCCCCAGGAGAATATTGCAGAGACAGTTTCTTCTTCCATGTTGTGGTTTCTAGGAAAAAAAGTAAAGCCATTAGCTAAACACCCAGCAGAAAGGTCTGAAGTTAGAGAGCAGGAAAATGAGCCAGTGAGATGCAAGAATAAATTCAGTTGTATTTCATAAAACAATCATTATTCATTAATCACGTGGTTACTGAGAGCACAATAGATGCCAGGCACTGGTCCAGGAGCCAGGGATCCCCCCACGAGCACCAGACGTGCCGGGGAACATGGGTCCTAGTTGGGAAAGCAGGAGAAAGTGTCTTCGTGGAGAGCATGGAGCCCGCCTCCTGGCTTTGTGTGCTGTGGGAGCCAAGATGGGAAGGGGAGGGAGGAGGAAGGATTTCAACTCTAAATGGGTGCTGAAGGGAGGCCTTGCCAAGAAGGCGAGGAGGAGGTGAGGGAACAAGGCAGGGCCTGTCTGGGAAGAGCCTTCTGCACGGAGGTGAGGGCAAGGACCGAGGCCCTTGGATTGGCCTTGGCCTTGTCCTGCTGTGTGAGGGAATCCCGCAGGGAGGCCAGGGATCCAGGAGTCCACAGAGCTCTGGGGAGAGCAGAAGGAAAGGAGGTCTGGGTGATGACGGATGGCCTGCGGATGAGGTCTTGCATTTCCTCTGGAAGTTGTTTGGCTTTATTTTTGCAGGGGTGGGTCCACCCCAGTGCTATGTGACAGTAGCCTGGGGTGGGGGACTAGAGAGGACTTAGGAGGCAAGTCCACTTGGGGATCAATGCCATCCTCCAGGGAGGCTGCAAAGATCATGTGGCCAGGCGGGGGCTGGCAGGGGTGAGTGAGGGTCAGGGGTGGATATGTGGGGTGGATATGTTTTGGAAGAAGAGCCAGCAGGGGTTTCCAATGGTTGGGATGTGTGTGTGAGAGGAGAGGACTCCAGAATAACCTGAGTGCTGTGACCTGGGCAGCTGGACAGACCTGTCTTCAACCAAGCTGGGAAGGAGGACAGGACAAGTGTTTCTCCAGGGCAGACCAACAGCTCTGTTTGGCCACTTCAGGCAGAACAGCCCCACTGGCCATCTGGGGGGATGCTGAGTACACAGCGGGTGTAAGAATCTGAGTTCAAAGAAGCCATCCCGGATAGGGAGACAAATGTCTTTAGTGACTCACATAGCATTGCACAAGTTACCTCTGCAGAACCTGTCCTGGAAGCCCCACAGAACCTCCCTCGTCAGAGGCTCACAGGTATACCACAATTATCTTCCTTCCGCGGAGGACACAGCTATGTCTGCAGGGTCACAGAGAGATGGACACGGCCCACAGTAACTGGCAGCAGGGCTGGGTCTTGGGCCCATGGCTTCAGATGCCCTTTCCAGTTTTCTGTCTATTTTCAGTTTTTGCAAAGAAATAGAGAGAGTCACTTGTTACGTAAATGTGCTATAAGCATTTCTGAAGAAACATGGAAATGTAAACACGGAGTGAAAGGAAGAGAGAGATGGACAGAGAAAGAGAGAGAGAATCAGAAATAGAGACAATGCATGTCTTTGAAGGTGCAGGTGGCCTGTGCCTCTGAACACGGTAGTAGGGCTGGGCATGTGCAGACAGGAAGGGGAACTTCTGCTGTGAATTTCTGGGGGACCTGGTTTGTTTTGCTGGTTGGTTGGGCCTCGGGCCCCTATGACCAAGATGGTGTTTGAAGACTGTGAGAACAGCAGTTTGCTTCTATAGAAAACCCCCACCACATCATACGTAGGTGTTGTTGCTGGCAAGGACCCCTGGGCACATCTTCTAGGGCACAAGTCAGGACGTGCTCCGCTCTGTGGAACACAGCTCAAGTGGCTAAATCCAAGGCTCTGCACCTGGGCAGGCGCATAAGAGTTGAGGACATTACTCCAGCTCTTTGCACAAAGAACATGTCCTGTGGAATGGCCTCATTTTGTCTTTGCAGCGAGAAAAGTACCTGAATACACCTGCATGCAACTGTCTGGTATTTGAGCCTCTCACCCTTGTCTTTTGTAAACTGAAGACATGCGCTGGCAGTCACAGTTCTGCATGGGAAGGAAGCTAGCACTGGCCTCTGCTACGCTCAGGTCAGGAGAAAGCTCCCCTCAGTAAAGGGGAAATCCTCTGCTTTCGGAACATGGAAACTGCAGCTGCATTTCACTTCATGGTATTGTTTTACTCAGCACGCAACTGAGTATCACAGTGGGACCATCTTAGAGACAGAGCAGAGAGCAAACCAGACCAGGAGCTGCTGTTCTCAGGACACTCAGCCAGTGGAATAGAGCAGATGATTCAGAACCCACAGGGCCAGGTGCAGTGGCTCACGCCTGGAATCCCAGCACTTTGGGAGGCCGAGGTGGGAGGATTGCTTGAGATCAGGAGTTCAAGACCAGCCTGGGAAACATAAGGAGACCCCCATCGCCACAAAAAATTAAAAAATTAGCCGAGCACGATGGTGCGCACTTGTGGTCCCAGCTACTCGGGCAGCTGAGGTGGGAGGATTACTTGAGCCCAGGAGGTGCGACTTACAGTGAGAGCCTTGACTGCACCACCGCACCCCACCCTGGACCACCCTGTCTCGACAACAGGAAAAAAGCCCCACAGATAAGTAAGCATGCAGAGTATCAGGCAGTGATGAGAGCTGTGGAGTGAAAGCAAGCAGGGAAGGAGGGCAGCCTGGGGCGCTTTGCAGCAAAGTTCTCAATGAGCAGAAGACACGTGGGGGAGACCTGAAGGAGGGTGTAGACAAGTGGGGAAGATGCTCCGTGCAGAGGGAGCAGGAAAGGCCCTAAGGTCAGATGCATCTGGCGTGCTCCAGGAAGAAAATAATAATAAAAGGGCCTGGCAGATGAGACATCCAGAGTCAGGGGTGAGGGCAGACAGCTGCGGGAGGGGAAGTGGGGGGATCCTGGAAGGGCGTTGGCCCTTGCTGGGAGTGTGTTGGGAGCCAGTGGCATATCCTGAGCACAAGACTGACACCATCTGGCTTAAGTTGCAGGCGATGCCTTCGCCCTCAGTCTGCTGGGTGAAGCCAGGGACCAATCAGGAGGCTGTACTGACCCCAGCTGCAGCCCTCAGCAGCACATGCATTGTGCCAAAGAGGTGCCACGTGCATGGGAAGGGATCGTCTGGTGGGGTCAGGTGGGGGCCCTTCGTGGCAAAAGTGGACTTGAGCTGAGCCCTTAAGGACATCAGCATTAATAAGATGAGAGGAGGGGACATGACTTTTGTAGGGCGCGCAGCTGAAAAATACTGCTTGGTTGTTTTCTGTCTGAGGTGTCAGCAAGACACGCAGCTGTATATGTTCTGTAGGAAATTTGCAGTTGAAGCTGGGGCTGGGAGGGGCGTCTGGGATCCCATGACGGCTTTGGCATTACCGGGAGGCTGACGCGGAAAGATCAGCTGATGCAAGGCGTTCAAAACCCTGTCTCTATGAAAAATAAAAAATTAGCTAGGTGTGGTGGTGTGCGCCTGTAGTACCAGCCACTCAGGAGGCTGAGTGAGGAGGATCTCTTGAGTCAAAGAGCTCAAGACTGCGGTGAGCTGATCATGCCACTGTGCTCCAGTCTGGGAGACAGAGCGAGGCCCTGTCTCAAAAAAAAAAAAAAAAAAATCAAAGGCTTTGGGTTTATCCGTCTATCTCCGATCTGCTGAGAAGAGGCGGGGCTCTAGTGACAGGCAGCACACACTCAGAAAAATCACATTCAGTGTCCCAGCCACAGTACTCACATCCATTTTCCTTTTGGCCTCATAGTGATCCTGCAATAAAGGTACAGTGGTTATTAAAATGGACCCCCTTACAAAGGAGGAAACGGAGGCTCTGAGAAGCTGGCTGCACAGCCCATGTTTAGTAAACGCAGAACCAAGATTGACAAAGAGTCTTTGAATGTCCGTTCTGGAAACTTAACTTTAGATCAGGCTGTTCCTGGGGAAAATATCCTGAGGGGGTAAGCCGCCTTATCTTGTAAAATTTCTCAGTTAGGAGCTTCCAGTTCCTTTTTCTCTGACTCTTGGCTCACCAAACAGCCTTCTTGTCTGAACTCTGAACAACTGGAGATGCTTTTGCTGAAGAGTGGCATTGGTGTCCTGTGAGATGCAGCTCTCGTTACAGGTGGACGCACACTCTCCTGTGGTTAGTAAGTTCCTGACTTGTGAGTTGGTTAGTGTAAACACAATTCCCCAACCCTAGAGGAAAATCAGCATTGCATTTCCGGACATGCTGAATTCCAGGGACAACCTCGGTGATGATTAGTGACTCACGTCTAAAAACAGAATACGCAGAGCTGAAGGGATGTGACTTCTGATGTGAGGTCACAAAATACCCCACTCCTCTCTAGGGCGATTTCCTTCCACTCTCTGGAGGATCACTTGCCCTGGCAGGAGGCAATGGCCACGTGGTGAGGCACCTGCGAGGAGGGAACAAGGTGCCAACAGCTGAACCAGAGCCTCAGGAGAGGCCTCAGGCCGGAGGCACCCAGATGAGCTTCACTGGATCCCTGGCCCACAGGAACCATGAGATAACAAATATGTGTTATTCTGTTTTAAGCTGCTCAGTGTTGGAGCTATTTGTTACAAAGCAGTAGGAAACTCATACAAAGTTAAGGGAGGAAAAGCGGGGAAGCACTGCAGTGCTGCGCTACTTACAGTGATGGTGCCTGACGGTGCAGGCCCGGATGGCTAAAGGGACAAACAAATCGGAAGGAGGCAAATGAGAAATAGAACATGAAAAGGCCTAAGGAAAACTGGGAACTCCTTGGAGGGCGAAGACAAGGCTCAGCCGGGTGAGAGCGTGACGCCAGTGATAACAGACTCAGAGTCGGAATACGGTGATGTTTTCCGCTTGTTGTTTATAATGATCTGTTCTGTTATTTGCCTTGGCTTCAGATATTCTACCGTCAAGGATGCTTTGTCTTTTTTAATATACATGATGTGATTTCCTGACTTGGCTTTGTCCGTGTAAAATCATATCATGTCTCTGGTGCCTCTCGATACTAAGGTGTTTAGGACAAATTGTTTGGCAGGACATGGTGGCTCACACCTGTAATCCCAGCACTTTGGGAGGCCACGTCAGGCGGATCGCTTGGGCTCAGGAGCTCGAGACCAGCTCGGGCAAGATGGCAACACCCCATCTCTAATAAAAACAGAAAAAAAAAGTTAGCCTGGCATGGTGGCAGGCACCTATGGGAGGCTGAGGTGACAGGATGGCTTGATCCCAGGAGGCGGAGGTTGCAATGAGCCGAGATCACACCACTGCACCCCAGCCTGGGTGACAGAGGGAGACCCTGTCTCAAAAACACAAAAACACAAAATAATTCTTGGCTAAATATCAAGGGAAACCCCTCTTTATTAGCAGGCTCCAAATAAATCCATTGAAACTTTGATGAAGCAGTGAGGAAATGACTCAGAAATCCCAGTGAAGTATATCAGTTACAAGGATCTCATAAAGAAGGCACTTTGATTTCTACTAAAGATAACTTAGGAAGCAGGTATTACCTATACTGATGTGCCAGCCTCTTCTACTGAAGCCCTGACTAAGGGATTATTTTCTAAGCCCCAGCATAACTGAAACCTCACTGTTCTTAAGACTCTTGGGCACCAAGTCATTGCTTCACCTCATTGGCCCTGTGACTTCCTGTCACTCGCGGTATGACTGACAATGACACCGTCCATCGCAACTCTTCCTTTCTCACGTGGGGCACAACAGGAGAACATCCTTTCCCTGTAGTCTGAACATAATAGAGTGGTAAGCATGAGAAAACTCTCAGAACATAGAGAGAGACTCCAGACTGAGGAGCAACTCCTGTTTCTTCCCTTCCTTTCTACAGCACACATGAATTATCTCCTGGGAATGAAATGGTCCCGGCCCCGTTAAACATTGTTTCCCAAGTCCATGTGATCCCAGGTAAAAGATTCGGTATCGGCCGGGCGCGGTGGCTCACACCTGTAATCCCAGCACTTTGGGAGGCCGAGGCGGGTGGATCACAAGGTCAGGAGATCGAGAGCATCCTGCCTAACACGGTGAAACCCCGTCTCTACTAAAAATACAAAAAAATTAGCTGGGCGTGGTGGCGGGCGCCTGTAGTCCCAGCTACTCGGGAGGCTGAGGCAGGAGAATGGCGTGAACCCTGGAGGGGGAGGTTGCAGTGAGCAGAGATCTCGCCACTGCACTCCAGCCTGGGCGACTGAGCAAGACTCCATCTCAAAAAAAAAAAAAAAAGACTCTGTATCATATGGTACAGCCAAGACTTTGCCTGCTGAAGGGGGTTGTCCGAAGGTCTCTGACACATGAAACAACTCAGTTCTTCTCTTTGTGGTAAGGATACATACAGCACATAAACACAGTCCAATTCTAGGAGCCAGGAGGGCCCCCACCGCTGTGTTAGGGAGATATGGAGTGTCCCCTATTATGTCCCAAAGCTTCAGTTGTTGAGATCTAATGAGTTGCACACAACACAGCTGACTGAAGACATAGCAGCAGAGGTCTATAAAGAGATGTCAGTCAATGTAACACATCTTGTCCATATTCTCAGGTGACCAGGAGCAACAACCGAGCCATGGAGACGTGGGTGAACCAGTCCTACACAGATGGCTTCTTCCTCTTAGGCATCTTCTCCCACAGTACTGCTGACCTTGTCCTCTTCTCCGTGGTTATGGCGGTCTTCACAGTGGCCCTCTGTGGGAATGTCCTCCTCATCTTCCTCATCTACATGGACCCTCACCTTCACACCCCCATGTACTTCTTCCTCAGCCAGCTCTCCCTCATGGACCTCATGTTGGTCTGTACCAATGTGCCAAAGATGGCAGCCAACTTCCTGTCTGGCAGGAAGTCCATCTCCTTTGTGGGCTGTGGCATACAAATTGGCCTCTTTGTCTGTCTTGTGGGATCTGAGGGGCTCTTGCTGGGACTCATGGCTTATGACCGCTATGTGGCCATTAGCCACCCACTTCACTATCCCATCCTCATGAATCAGAGGGTCTGTCTCCAGATTACTGGGAGCTCCTGGGCCTTTGGGATAATCGATGGCTTGATCCAGATGGTGGTAGTAATGAATTTCCCCTACTGTGGCTTGAGGAAGGTGAACCATTTCTTCTGTGAGATGCTATCCTTGTTGAAGCTGGCCTGTGTAGACACATCCCTGTTTGAGAAGGTGATATTTGCTTGCTGTGTCTTCATGCTTCTCTTCCCATTCTCCATCATCGTGGCCTCCTATGCTCACATTCTAGGGACTGTGCTGCAAATGCACTCTGCTCAGGCCTGGAAAAAGGCCCTGGCCACCTGCTCCTCCCACCTGACAGCTGTCACCCTCTTCTATGGGGCAGCCATGTTCATCTACCTGAGGCCTAGGCACTACCGGGCCCCCAGCCATGACAAGGTGGCCTCTATCTTCTACACGGTCCTTACTCCCATGCTCAACCCCCTCATTTACAGCTTGAGGAACAGGGAGGTGATGGGGGCACTGAGGAAGGGGCTGGACCGCTGCAGGATCGGCAGCCAGCACTGAACCCAGGGCATCCAGTGCCTGGCTCTGCCATCTCTTAGCTCCAGGGATGTCGGGTTAATAATTCTCTCATTTTCAGTCTTGGTTTCCTCGTGAATTATGATGATTGTGACACCCTCAGACTTGGAAGGTCTTTTTAAACACTACATCAGTTCTTTCTTTCTTTCTTTCTTTCTTTCTTTCTTTTGTTCTTTCTTTCGTTCTTTCTTTCTCTTCCTCTTTCTCTTTCTTTCTTTTTCTTTCAGTTCTTACTCTGTCACCCAGGCTAGAGTGCAGTGACACAATCTCGGCTTATAGCAGCCTTGATCTCCTGGGCTCAGGTGAGTCTCCAACTCAGCCTCCTGAGTAGCTGGGATTACAGGTGCGTGCCCCACACCTGACTAATTTTTTAGTAAGGGATCCACTATTGTTGTAGAGACAATGTTTTACTATGTTGCCCAGGCTGGTCTCGAACTCCTGGACTCAAGCAATCCACCTTCCAGAGTGCTGAGATTACAGGCGTGAGCCACCACGCACAGCCAACATCAGTACTTTTTATCTGATGAAGAAACAACTTTTCCTCCCAATCTTTTGTGTACTAATTATTTTACACTATACATTGAAAATGAATATAGGACATTGTAAATCAGCACTGTGCAGAAATAAGACATTGGGATTGCTGTCACTCATTATTTAAAATTGGAATTACTTCTACTAGAAGAAGACGTTGAGCTGAGCCTCCTAACTCTCCTTGCTAATGTTTTATTCTGTGCTTACTCTGTGGGAGACTTCGCTCTGTGATCTATGTGTAGACGTAGATCCCACCTGCATGATGTTTATATGATGTCTCACAACAGTTGTAGCCCAACCCTAGGGTCTTAAATGAACAACTTACAGATGACAGAAAATAAGCCTTTATAGTTCTCTTTAGAGAATGTCTACTCCTCACACTGGAAACTTCATAAAGACGTATTAAAAGCATACAAGTTGTCTTTGAGATAATGAGGGACAGGGTAGAGACATGCTTGCTTGTGTATTCAGTGGAAATCCCCCAAGCCTGCTGTCTCCTCACCACGTCCTAGCAGTGTGTGCTGCTCTGTGTCAGCTCAGCTTCTGTAAGGAGAAAACTGGCTGAACTCCTTCCCCTTCGGGGAATGAAGACTGGAGCATGGTGACAGAATTTCATCTGCTATTTGAAAACCTATTTTCAGAATTTCAGTGTGAACTATTTGCAGGACTTGTATCCATCCTTCCAAGCTCTGTACCTGTCCTATTTGCAGTAAAATTCTCTTTTCATGGAAAAAAAATATCTCCATTGAAGGCGGAGAGAAAAGAGGCCAGAACTGGTCCTGAGGATTAGACTAAACCCCAGGGAGGTGTTTGCTGGGCTTCAGGCTTTGGAGAGGTGGAGGGAAGTGGCACCCAGGGCCTACCGTGGTTGACTTTAGATTGTCCACTCAGCTTAATTCTCACAGGAAACATTCTGTGGTGAAAATATTATGCCCATTTTACAGGAGAGGAAGCTAGGGCTCAAATCGGTAAGTCCCTGCCTCATCGTCCAGTTTTCTTCTTCACCTCCCCATGGGAAAGACTGGTTTGTCAGCGCAGCTGAGATGAGCAAACAACTTCGGAGGAGGCTCCTTCCCTTGGGGGTTTAATTGCCTGAAAAGGTGTCTCCAAGGACTGGTGAAAATAGAAGTAACTTTCCTTAGTCACGGGGCTGCAAGATTTTCCACTGTGTAGATGGATCTTAGTGTATTCTGTGACCACTTGCTGATATCACTTAGGTAATGCCCAACCTACCAAATTAATTTAAGCTCTATAATATCAAATATCTTTCTGTGTATTCTCCTCATTTTCATCATATCTTTTTGCCTTGTACACATTTCTATTTGCCCCAAATTCTTCTCTTCCAGGAAGCATCCCTGATTAACCTCATGCCCACTCAGATTTCTCTGGGATTTTGCACCCTTCAACCCGTAAGTACCTTGAGTGTTTCAACCACAACTCTTTATCTATAGCCACTGAACCCCTAGACTGGAAGAAAATTTAGAGCAAACTTAATCCAGCCCCCTTCCGTGATGCAGAATTTTGGATCATAATCACCCAAGCAAAAGTTTCACCAGCCTTTACCTTATCTAGTCCCATGATGGGGAAATTCCTATTTCATTTTAATTGCATTTCATTGGCATAGGCTTGATGTCCTTAATTCATTTCCCGCACAAGGACCAGGGAATTCCATTGAAAATTATCTACTGAACGCCACTAGCACCCAGAAATGTGGTAAGTTCCATGTCACAAAAAGGTTCCACAGGGTCCTCTTATGTCCAGGCACACACTTCAGTTCACTAATCAATGCTCCTTATGAAACAAGAGTTGCATAACTAGTCTCAGTGTGAGCAACTGCAAACTTAGAGATGTGTAATTGTTAGAGATTTGTAAGAAAATAATATAGAGAGGAAATACATGTGGGGGGGGGGCAGGTGCGGTGGCTCACATCTGTAATCCAAGCACTTTGGGAGGCCAAGGCCAAGGTGGGAGGATTGCTTGAGCTCAGCAGTTGGAGACCAACCTGGGCAACATGGTGAAACCCCATCTCTACAAAAAGTACAAAAATCAGCCGGGCGTGGTTACTTGGGAGGCTGAGTTCCTTGGGAGGCTGAGGCGGAAGGATTGCTTGAGCTTAGGAGGCTGAGGCTGCAATGACCCATGATCATGCCACTGCACTCCAGCCTGGGCCACAGAGCAGAAGCCTGTCTCGAAAATAAATAAGTAAATAAATAAATAAACAAAAAATAAAAAGAAAACATGTGAAAGCACAGGAGAGTAAAAGAAGCAAGAATCTTGCCAGGGGACATGGGAGTTTTTGTTACTTGCTTCACTTTTGTGTATGCCTGACATTTTTTATAATTAACAGTTTAAAATGCTCAAGGCCAGTTTTTTTTTTGCCAACTACCTTACCAAATCCTTTCCCATCAAGTTGTCTGTTCATTTTATTGGGTGATTTTGGGGCATAGATGTGACAAATCTTCATTGCAATCAGTTAGGTCAATGTTTTGTGTGTGTGTGTGAATATAAAAAATTGCTTGAAGCCAGGCATGGTGGCTCATTCCTATAATCCCAGCTGATAATGGGGAGGCCAAGGTGGGAGGATCACTTGAGCCCGGGAGTCTGACGCTGCAGTGTCACTGCACCCCAGCCAGGGCAACTCAGAGAGATCCTATCTCTACAGATTAGAAATGTTCCATTTCAGCTGGACAGGGTTTCTCATGTCTGTAATCCCAGCACTTTGGGAAGCCAAGGCAGGAGGATCACTTGAGCCCAGGAGTTTGAGACCAGCCTGGGCAACATAGCGAAACCCCATCTCTAGAACAATTAAAAATAAAACATGAATTTTAAATTTAAAAATTGCTCTACACCTCCATTTGGAAAGACTGTGTATGTGTTTGTGTCACGTATGAAAGCTAAGCTGGCATCTCCATAACCACGGGGCTCAGATCTGTCCTGATCACGTTGAGCCCCATAGCCTGACCCTGGAGGAATGAGTATCTGCTGTTGTGAATGAGGCCAGCACCCTTCCCCACCCAGGAAAACCAACGGCCACAGGAGGGCAGCAGAGAGCCACGATCCCAACCAGAGGAGAAAGCACAGACAGCATGGGGCAGGTGCAGGCGCTTATGTTTGTTTATTGGTTTGTTTTCTTTTTTATTTAAGTGACCTGTGCCATCGTATTGGGCTGAAATAGCCAGGGATGTGGCCATACAGACAGATCTAGTGTAGGTGAAAAAGAGAGCGGAGTGGGGTCCAGACTATTCCAGCCTCCCTCCTGCTGCCCTTGGCAAGGCTGCCAGCCTCTCTGTGCCTCGGTGTCCTCATCTGTCACATGGGGATAATAACAGTATGGACTGCAGGGGGCTGGCAACAGTAAAGAGAGTGAGGTGCGTGGCGGCAGCACAGGTCGGCCCAGGAGGACCCCGTGGGAGCTCCTACTGACTGCGGAGAAGATCAGCAGAGGCCCCGCTGAGGACGGCCTGGGGGAGGTGCAGGGAAGGGGCTCATGGGAGGGTGGTGGGGAACACCTGCAGGCAGAGGATGGGTGTGATTGTGGGGACCTCAAAAGCCACACCCAGAGCCAGGGGGTGCTGCAGGGCAGAGGCTGCAGCGGGGAAGTGCCCATGGCCCGAGGTCCCTGTGGGCGAGGCCCTCCTCTCTAACCCACAGCCATCCCCCAGGCCCAACTTTCAGGGGTGTGGGAGGTCTGCCTGTCTCCCGAAGACCCACTGTGGTCACTAACAGACTGGGACGTACATGAGGGTGACCCAGGCAGGCAGGTCTGGGCCTCCCTGGAGCTGGCAACCGTGCTCCCATCATCCCTGTCCCAGGGCCTGTGTGGTCCTGAGCTGACACCCGAGGGTGACACCCCACACTCCACACATGGCAGAGTGAAATAATAGCACCCTGGCCATGGTAGCGCACGCTCACAGCCCCTCCAGCACAGAAATGCAGGGAGCAGGGGGCAGCGTCGGGGGTGGCCAAGGCTTTGGCCTGTGGCAGGCCCTGAGCTCAGAAGGATGCAGGGGCTTTGCCCAAACCCACACTAGGTGCAGGGCCGGGGAGGCTGTTTCAGGAGGCGAAGGAAGGGCCCCGGGCGGTGAGGGGAGAGGCTGGTTCCGAAAGTGTGGGCGACGCAGCCAGAGCCTGATGACTGAAGAGTGAGCAGGCGGTGGGGCTTCCTAGGAGGCAGTGAGGAGAGGCAGCCCAGACCCAGTGAGATCACACCTAGGATGTCCCCAAGAAACCCCCAGGGCTGGGGCCAGGTCGTGCATCGTCATTGGGGGTGGGGCCAGGACGAGCATCGTCACTGGGGGTGGGGCCAGGACGAGCATCGTCACTGGGGGTGGGGCCAGGACGAGCATCGTCACTGGGGGTGGGGCCAGGACGAGCATCGTCACTGGGGGTGGGGCCAGGACGAGCATCGTCACTGGGGGTGGGGCCAGGACGAGCATCGTCGTTGGGGGTGGGGCCAGGACGAGCATCGTCGTTGGGGGTGGGGCCAGGACGAGCATCGTCGTTGGGGGTGGGGCCAGGACGAGCATCGTCGTTGGGGGTGGGGCCAGGACGAGCATCGTCGTTGGGGGTGGGGCCAGGACGAGCATCGTCGTTGGGGGTGGGGCCAGGACGAGCATCGTCGTTGGGGGTGGGGCCAGGACGAGCATCGTCGTTGGGGGTGGGGCCAGGACGAGCATCGTCGTTGGGGGTGGGGCCAGGACGAGCATCGTCGTTGGGGGTGGGGCCAGGACGAGCATCGTCACTGGGGGTGGGGCCAGGACGAGCATCGTCATTGGGGGTGGGGCCAGGACGAGCATCGTCATTGGGGATGGGCAGCCATGTGGATGAGCCGAGAGATTCCAGTGGGGAAAAAGGAGACGAGGCCGAGATTGATGATCTAGAGGCGCCCGCAGCCTCACAGACCCAGGTGCCCTGGCAAGCACAGCCCTGCTCACACAGCAGACATGGGGGTGGGGATGACTGAGTGTGTGCATAGCAGGGAACAGATAAATGAGCCTAAAGGCATGGATAAGTTTAAAGGCTAAAGAAGGGCCTTGTGCAGACCAATCCTGAGCGGAAATGAATGCAGGAGTCCAGTTGGCCCCTGCTGAGAGGGGAAAACCGGTGTCTTAAACTCAGGACCTAGAGTCAGGAGGAAAGAGGTTCCAGATAGGACCCAGATTAGGAACCTCCTCACCCACTCCTCCCTCCAGAGACTACAGCAGAGGGGGAGGCCCACAGGCAGCACAGCCTTCAACTCCTGGTTTCCCCAGAAGACACTGTGGGCATTTGTCCAACTGACCTCAGAGGCCCCCTCCAGGACACTGTGACAGTTTATACCAATCTGCACTTTTGCTCCTTGAGCTCTTATCTTTGGGGCAGCTCAAATGATGACAATGGCTTTTCTGGCCAACTTACCCAGACTCTGTCCTGAGACGAGTAAGCAGGGCCCAGTCTTCCCAAGGCCCTCCCTGTCTTCTGGGACACCATGTGGGTCCTTCTGAGACAGTGGCCAGCTTTGCCCCAGCCCAGAGCAGCTGAGCCAGCGGTGGAATGACTCTCATGACAGACAGCTGTGAGCTCCTGCTGTGCCCCAGGCCCAAGGCTCTAGGGGGTCAAAGAGGTAGGAAGAAGAGCTATGCCAGGGGGGATGCTGGGAGGCGTTTGGGGGTGAGTGCCCCATCTCTGTCACATGGGCCACCTTCTCCACCTGTAAGAAGGACATCCCAGAAAACTGGCTCTTTATCTTGGCTTTCACTCACTCTGCTGAAGGGCAGGATATTCAGCAGAAATCTTAGAAACAGGGCGAAACTCAGTGACAGGAAAGCTGAGAGTTTAGAGCCAGCAGGAACCTTAGAGATCATCTCATTCACCCTCTCATCTTGTTGATGTGAAAACAGGCTCAGAGATGGGAGTGGCTGGCCTGTGGTCACAGAGTGGGTCCCCAAACTGTGCCCAGGGCCTGGGTATGCATCACTTCCAGAAATGTGTAACACTGGAAATGAATCCGAATGGCCTTCCAAAGCGGCAAAGGCAGCGCCAACCCGGTTTCTCCTCCTGGACGCATTGGAACAACCAGCCAAGCAGCCCCAGAAGATCACTTCCTCCCACCTCTAGCCTAAAGGTGACACTTTTGAAACCCCCCGTAGCCTCCCTTTGCAGTTTGGACCCTGCCGTTCTGTTCACCTGGAGATCTCAGGCCTGAAAGGTCTTACTGTGGTGGAATTACGTTTCCCTCAAAATCCATCTTAGCACTCCAACCCTCTTTCCCTCAGAATGTGACTGTATTGGACATAGGGCTTTTAAAGAGGTGGTCACACTAAAATGAGGTCACTAGGGTGGACCCCAATCCAATCTGACAGGTGTCCTTATAAGAGGAGGAAATGTGGACACACAGGGCCATCACGGGTACATGTGCACAGACGAAAGACCATGTGCGGACACATGTTTGGGGTGTGTGTGTGTGTGTGTGTGTGTGTGTGTGTGTGTGTGTGTTTGGAACAGGGTCTTGCTCTGTTGTCCTGGCAGCAGTGCAGCAGTGACGTCTCTGCTTACTCCAGCCTCAAACTCCCAGGCTCAACCCATACTCCCACCTTAGCCTCCCGAGTAGCTACAGAAACTTCAGGTGTGTGCCACCACTCCTGGCTAATTTTGGGATTTTCTGTAGAGATGATGTCCCAATATGTTGCCCAGACTGGCCTTGAACTCATCGGTTCAAATAACCCATCTGCCTCGGCCTCCCAAAGTGATGGAATTACAGGTGTCAGCCACCAGGCGAGGCCAGTTCCTCTGTTTTTTGTTTTGGGGGATTTTTTGGATGTTTGTTTTCTGTTTCTTTGTTTTTAATGGAAGAGATATTTAAGAGACACCTCACAAAGGAAGATTAAAAAAATGAGTCATACACATGAAAAAGTGCTTATCGTCTTTCCTCATCAGCTAAATGCAAACTTAAACCATGAGGAAATACTACATACCCAGAAGAATGGCTAGAAGTTAAAAAATAATCATCGTAATAGGTGAAAAGTACCAAATGCTGCCAAGGAGGTAGCCTCATAACGCTTTCACATGGTTGATGGGAGGAAAATAACCTAAATGTCCAACAGCAGTGGCTGCTTGGATAATCTAGAGCTCTACCAAACAATGGAACAATAAAAATGGTGTTGTGGGCTACTTCCTCTTTCATTCCACTCCAGTTTCTCCAGGCACACAAGCTCCAGCTCCACTCACGAACGCATGGCCTCATATTCCCCAAGCAGCTTCTTCTGAAAGTCTCTTCTCTTAGAAAACGCTGCCAGCGCGCCCCTGCTGTTCAACCCCCAGGCCCACTGTCAACCCCAGACAGCTCGACTGCCTCACGTCTCTCTGAGGTCGCCACCACACCTTCTGTCAGGACTCCCATGCCCGCTTATGCCACCACATCAGGCATGAAAACTTCCTTTTCTTGCTTCTCTCTCTCTCTCTCCCTTTTTCTTTCTTTTCTCTCTTTCGAGACTGAGTCTTGCTCTGTCTTCCAGGCTGGAGTGCAGTGGCGCAATCATAGCTTACTGCAGCCTCGACCTCCTGGGCTCCAGCCGTCCATCCATCTCAGCCTTCCAAGTGCTGAAACGTCCTTTTCTTGTGTGCTCATGCCCATTAGCCAAGCTCGAAGGGACGCATGGAGGAAGCTCAGAATTACCATGAGAAATAAAATGCGGCCTTGTGTGGTGGCTCATTGTGGTGGGTCAGAAAACGCGTGCAAGTTTCCGTAGTGTAGTGGTTATCACGTTCGCCTAACACGCGAAAGGTCCCCGGTTCGAAACCGGGCGGAAACAGAATCTTATGCTTTTCATCTCATTACTTCAAATTTATTACAAGAAAACTAGCCTGGAACACCCCACCACTATCTCCACCTGGTTACGGAGAAAAGGCCATCAAGGGTATTTATACCGTTGCCTTTCCTCAACGGTTGAGGCACCTGGGAAGAACTGAACCCACCTCACTTGCCCTGGACAGCGGCGCCGACGAACTTCGCACAAAGCCCGTCCGCTGGACGGCTGCGCGCTGCCAAGTGGAATCCAGATCCCGAGCATGCGTGGGGCCCAAGGCGAGTTCCAATGAATCCTCCTTTTGCAACCCATGGGGGGACAAAATGGAGAAATCACAACAAGTTGGCAGAGGTGGAATTCGAACCCATGCCTCCGAAGACACCGGCGCCTTAATCCGGAGCCTTAGACCGCTCGGCCTTGCTATCTTTCTCCTGGCCGTATACTTACATATTTCCTTTCTTTATACAACATCGCTAGGGTCCCCGGGCCAACAAGGCGTTGGGGCGAATCCACAGGGCATTGCAGAACCACCGCCTTGCAGTACGATTCTCTGGGCCAGAGGCACCGGCTGGGAAACGGCTCCACCAGCGCCCTGGCGGAGAAGATTCGAGAAGCGCAGGCCTCGGGATCTGCTTTGGGGGGTCACTCAAAGTCACCCACATCGGCCCTCTTTGGGGAGCCGGCGTGAGTGCTGGGGAAGCCTTCTACCCTCTCACTTTAAAGAAAGATAAACAAACCAGGGCCGGCCAAGAGCGGTGGCTCACGCCTGTAATCCCAGCACTTTGGGAGGCCGAGGCGGGCGGATCACGAGGTCAGGAGATCGAGACCATCCTGGCTAACATGGTGAAACCCCGTCTCTACTAAAAATACAAAAAATTAGCCGGGCGAGGTGGCGGCGCCTGTAGTCCCAGCTACTCGGGAGGCTGAGGCAGGATAATGGCATGAACCCGGGAGGCGGAGCTTGCAGTGAGCTGAGATCCCGCCACTGCACTCCAGCCTGGGCGACAGAGCGAGACTCCGTCTCAAAAAAAGAGCAGAGAGAAACCCTGTACATCCATTCCCTTTTTTTTTTTTTTTTTTTTTTTTTTTTTTTTTTTTTTTTGCTGTGAACTGTGTTCCTGAGTAGAGGTTGGTTAAGCTCTGACACCAGAATTTTCAGGTGTACGGCTAAAGAGCATTGCTCTTGCAAAAGTACCCATGATTCTCCAGATCTTTTGTTTTACTTCAAAAACATCTTCTAATCCTGACAGAGTCTTCACAGAGAAGTGTTTGTTTGTGGTGAGGTCCAACTCACCTTTTTTTTTTTCCTGTTTGGTGTCAAGTCAAAGAACTCTTCACCCAGCTCTAGGTCTAGATTTTCTCCTATGTCTTTTTGAAGTTGTATAGTTTTAAATCTGACATTAAAGCCCATGATCTCCTTTGGGTTCATTTTTGTCTCAGCTGTGAGGCTTGGCTAAGGTTCATTAGTTTGGCCTATGGCTGCTCCAGCACTGTTTGTTGAAAACACGATCCTTTCTCCATTGTATTGCTTTTGCACTTTTATCAAAAACTACTTGAAGCATGGTGCGTGGCTGACGCTTGTAATCCCAGCACTTTGGGAGGCTGAGGTGGGCAGATCCCTTGAGGTCAGGAGTTCCAGACCAGCCTGACCAACATGGCGAAACCCGGTCTCTACTAAATATACAAAAATTAGCCGGGTGTGGTGGTGCAGGCTTGTAATCCCAGCCATTTGGGAGGCTGAGGCAGGAGAATTGCTTGAACGCGGGTGGTGTAGGTTGCAGTGAGCTGAGACGGCACCACTGCACTCCAGCCTGGGCGACGGAGTGAGACTATGTCTCAAAACACAAAAACAACACAAAACAAAAACTACTTGAAAAGAAAATATTTGCAAAGGACATATTTGACAAAGGACTTGTAGCTGGGCTATATAAAGAATAATCAAAACTCAGCACTGAGAAAAAATCCTACATATTAAAAGAGTGAAAGAAGGAAAGAACACGATAAATGCAATTGACGCGGAAAAAGTATTGGACAAAATTCAACACCCTCTCGTGACTAAACACTCAACAGGCCAGGCGCGGTGGCTCACGCCTGTCATCCCAGCACTTTGGGAGGCCTAGGTGGGCAGCTCACTTTGAGATTTCATCTCAAAAAAACCCCAAAAAACAAAAAACATTCAACCAACTGGTACATGAAAGCATACTATTAACGGAGCAAAAAGGCAACCCACATAATGGGAGAAACTGCTAGCAAATTACGTGACTGATAACTGATGAATATCTAGAATATGTGAAAAACTCCCACAACTCAACAACAAAAAATAAATAACCCAATTAAAATATGCACTGTGGCTGACGCCTGTAATCCCAGCATTTTGGGAGGCCAAAGTGGGTGGATCACTTGAGGCCAGGAGTTCGAGACCAGCCTGGCCAATATGGTGAAACCCTGTCTCTACTAAAAGTACAGAAATTAGCTGGTCGTGGTGGCACGTGCCTGTAGTCCCAGCTACCCGGGAGGCTGAGGCAGGAGAATTGCTTGAACCCGGGAGGCGGAGGTTGCAATGACCCGAGATTGCACCGCTGAACTCCAGCCTGGGTCACAAAGCGAGACTCCATCTCAAAACAAACAAACAAACAATAAAATAGAGGACAAAAGAGTAGAATAGACAGTTCTTCAAAGAAGATATAGAAATGGGGATAAGCACATGGAAAGATGCTCAGCATCATTAATCATCAGGGAAATGCAAATCAAAACCACAAGAAGATACCACCTCACAGTCATTAACATGGCTATTTTCAGAAAAACAGGAAATAACCAAATGTTGGTGAGAACGTGAACGAATTGGAACCCTTGTGAGTTAATGACAGGATTGTAAAATGATACAGCCACTGTAGAAAATAGTTTTACGGTCCCTCAAAACTTTAAACAGAATTACCATATGATCCAGAAATTCTACTTCTGGGTATAAACACAAAAGAATTAAAAGCAGGGAGTGGAAAAGATATTTGTACAGCAGTGTTCATAGCAGCATTATTCACAACAGCCAAAAGGTGAAAACAACCAAAATGTCCATCGAATAATTGAGTGGATAAAGAAAATGTAGTGTATACACATGATGGGCTATGACTCAGCCTTAAAAAGGAATGAAGTCCGGACATATGCTACAACATGGATGAACCTTTAATCTTACACAGACTGAAGTAAGCCAGACACAAAACAGCAAATATGGTGTGATTCCACTTATGAGGAATAGTGTGGTCAGATTCACAGGGATAGAAGAGCAGGAGTTACTGGGGCTGGGTGAGGAAGGAACAGGGAGTTGTTGTTTAATGACTATACTGTTTCTATATGGGATGATTAAAACATTGAGGCTAGTGGTGATGATTACATAAGAATGTGAATGTACTTAATGCTATTGACATGTACATTTCAAACTGTTGAAATGGCAATTTATGTTGTGTATATTTTATTACAATTTCTAAAAAGAGAAAAAAATCCATTTAGAAAATGGGCAAAAACATGAGGAGACATTATATAGAAAGGGAAATGAAGGTACCAAATAAGTACATAAGGTGTCCAACAGCACTAGCCATTCAGGAAATGCAAATTAAGACGAAAGGGAGCTATCACTATACACCTATTGGAACGGCTAAAATTAAAAAACAGCCAGGCGTAGTTGTGCAAGCTGTGATCTCAGCCATCCCAGAAGCTGAGGCGGGAGGATCACTTGAGCCCGGGAGTTCAAGAGCAGCCTGGGAAGCACAGTGCGACCCTCCCCTTACCCCTGCCCGGGCAGTCCCCCTACTCCCCACCTCTACTGCCCCCTGCCGGTGTCTCAAAAAAATGAGATAACATCAATGCCAGCAAGAGCGCAAAGAAACCAAATCTCATAGAAGGCTCGTAGAAATGTGAAAAGACACAGCCACTCTGAAAATAGATTGGTCATTTCTTCAGAAACTAAAAATGCACTGAGCATATGACCTAGCAATTGCATTCAACCATTTATCTCAGAGAAAAGCAATATAATAGCCAAACTGAAAACAATGCAGACTTTCACCTGGTGGATGATTAAACAAACTGTGGAATATTTATAGCTTGAAATGCTACTCATCAATAAAAATAAATGAATTACTGTATTGATACAATTAGAGTGGATCTCAAGGGAATTATGCTAAATGAAAAAAGCCAGTTGCTAGAGGCCACGGGCTGTATTATTACATTTGTATAACATTCTTGACATAACAAATTTTTAGAGACATTAAACAGATTCGTGGCTGTCAGGAGTTAGGAACTGGAGGACAAGGGACGCTGTAGGGGTGTGTGTGGCTCTAAGAGTGTGGTGCTGGCTGTGATAATGGAACAGTTCTGTATCCTGATTGCGGTGATAGTCACAGGGAGCTACACGTGATAAAATTGCTGTGTAGAGAAACATACACGCACACACACACACACGAATCCATGTATAACTGGAGGGGTCCCAGTAAGCTCTGTGGATTGTACCAATGCCGTTTTCCTGGTTTTGTTACCGTGCTACAATTATGTAAGACGTCATCACTGGGAAAGACCAGTGCCTGAGACCTCCCTTTAGTTTTCTTTGCCACTTTCTGTGAAACTATAATTGTTTCAAAATGAAAAATTGGTTTGCTTTAGGTTTTATGTTTTCCTTTTTCTTTCTTTCTTCTTCTTTTTTTTTAAATAGACCTGGGGTTTTGCCACATTGCCCAGGCTAGTCTCAAACTCCTGAGCTCAAGCAATGTACCCACCTCCGCCTTCCACTGTGCTGGGATTACAGGCGGGAGCTACCGTGCCTGGCGTGGTTTTTTCTCTTTCTTTCTTTCTTTTTTTTAAGATGCCAGATTCTAAATTGGCACGCGAGGGCAGTTCCTCGTTTTTGGTTTTTGGGGATTTTTTGGTTGTTTGTTTTTTGTTTCTTTGCTTTTAATGGAAGAGATATTTAAGAGACACCTCACAAGGGAAGATTTAAAAAATGAGTCATACATATGAAAAAGTGCTTATCGTCTTTCCTCATTAGCTAAATGCAAACTTAAACCATGAGGAAATACTACATACCCAGAAGAATGGCTAGAAGTTAAAAAATAATCATCGTAATAGGTGAAAAGTACCAAATGCGGCCAAGGAGGTAGCCTCATAACGCTTTCACATGGTTGATGGGAGGAAAATAACCTACATGTCCAACAGCAGTGGCTGCTTGGATAATCTAGCCGTCCATCCATCTCAGCCTTCCAAGTGCTGAAACGTCCTTTTCTTGTGTGCTCATGCCCATTAGCCAAGCTCGAAGGGACGCATGGAGGAAGCTCAGAATTACCATGAGAAATAAAATGCGGCCTTGTGTGGTGGCTCATTGTGGTGGGCCAGAAAACGCGTGCAAGTTTCCGTAGTGTAGTGGTTATCACGTTCGCCTAACACGCGAAAGGTCCCCGGTTCGAAACCGGGCGGAAACAGACTCTTATGCTTTTCATCTCATTACTTCAAATTTATTACAAGAAAACTAGCCTGGAACACCCCACCACTATCTCCACCTGGTTACGGAGAAAAGGCCATCAAGGGTATTTATACCGTGGCCTTTCCTCAACGGCTGAGGCACCTGGGAAGAACTGAACCCACCTCACTTGCCCTGGACAGCGGCGCCGACGAACTTCGCACGAAGCCCGTCCACTGGACGGCTGCGCGCTGCCAAGGGAATCCAGATCCCGAGCAAGCGTGGGGCCCAAGGCGAGTTCCAATGAATCCTCCCCCAGCCTCCTGCTCGGCCCCTGCAGGCCCCGCACCCGCCTTTCCCCTGCAGCCCCGTGCGCCCTCGCGCCGCCTCTTCCACATCTCCCTGGGCGGAGGCCCCGCTCCATCGCGCAGTGCCGTCCACCGTTGTCCGCCTGTGTGGCCTCGGTCTTCCCTTGTTCCTCACCCCCACCCTTCCCCTCTGGGGAGCAGGATCCGTGCGTTTTGTTTCCTTCGTGCTGTGTCCCCTGGGCCTGGAACTGAGCTGCCTTGGCACAGCTGTAGATTCCGTGAGTGTTTCTTCAGTCGTACCCAGTGCTAGTGCGGGTGTTAATTGCTCTGACCCTGGTCACCCGCCCGTAAGAAAGGCGCTGCTCTCACCCCATTCTACAGACGAGGAACCGCCCCTCCCGGGGTTGTGTAACTCGCACCTTGACAGCCAGCGCAGGAGCTGACCCGCCCAGGCGGCCCCTGCAGAGGCCCAGCACACTCAACACCGCGACCCTCCTGCGGCCCCGAGCGCTCGCCGACAGCAGCTTTTCTCTCCTAGATTTAAAAAGACAGCTGTGGAAAATAAAAGCCAGTGCCCCCATCTCCTCAAGGACCAGGACTTTGCACATGACACACAAAACACAGCAGCACACACTGGCCCCTCCTGCAGACGCACATTACTGGGTGGACGTGCCGGTGTTGAGTGTTGGCCGTAAACGATCCTATGACGGATCCTCATTTCGTTTCTGTAACATGCACTTTTCGTTTTTTAAACCCATCCATTGGCAAGGTCTCCATTCCGGCAGTTTTGGATTGGATGACTTCCATCACGTCCCTCCCAGCTTCAGTCTCGCGGTGGTCGCTCATCTTCATTTACTTGGCATCTCCGTAAATTTACTCACATCTTGATTATTTATACAACTACTTTAGCTTAATTACAAGCAACACTAAGCAAGAACTTCAAGTTTCAAGGTGCAAGTTACCTGCTCTCCAAGGCTGCATTAAAGCATTCTGTAAACATTAATTATGCTCTGGGCCACAGGAATCATTTTGCACACTGCAACGGTCACTCAGCTGATCCCTGGGGAACACTAACTGCCTCGCTGCTGTGTTTGGGGGTCTGTTTTTATGGTTTAGCATTCCATAACAGCTTTATTGGGGCACAGTTCAATACAATAAAGTCCACTCACTGTAAGTTTACAGCTCAATGATTTTTAGTCACCGCATAGGATTCTGCAACCATCACCACAATCCAGTCTTAAAACAGTTCCGTTACCACAAAGATTTCCGACATGCCCATCTGCAGCCAGTCCTGGCTCTCGGCCTCAGTGGTACAGAAGAAGTGATCTGCTTTCTCTCTGTTTTCATCTGCCTTTTCTGGAAATGTCATATAAATAAATGGTGGTAGTGGAATTGCTAGTTTCAAGTTTCACTTTCTATACCAAAAAGTTAAACATAGGGTTACTATACAATCCATCAATTCCACTCCTAGGTATATATAAAAGTGAGTTGAAAACCTTGGTTCACATAAAAAATGTACACAAAATATATATGGTATCATTTTTCATTATAGCGAAAAAGTGGAAACAAAGGCTAGGCAAGGTGTCCCATGCCTGCAATCCCAACACTTTGGGAGGCCAAGGTGGGTGGACTGCTTGAGGCCAGGAGTTCCAGACCAGCCTGGGCAACATAGGGACCAAGTCTCTACAAAAAATACAAAAATTAGCCAGGTGTGGTGGTGTGCACCTATGGTCCCAGCTGCTTGTGAGGCTGAGGTGGAAGGATCACTTGAACCAAGGAGGTGGAGATTGTAGTGAGCTATGATGGCACCTCTGTACTCCAGCCTGAGTGACAAGAGTGAGAATCTCTCTCAAAAAAAAAAAAAAAAAATTGGAAACAACATAAATGTTCATTCTTTGATGAATGGATAAACAAAACGGCATATTCATCTAATGCAAAGATGTATTAATTTACTTATTTGTTTATTTATTTGGAGACAGGGATTCACTCTGTCATCCAGTAGCATCCAGTAGCAGTGCCCTGGTGTGATTACAGCTCACTGCAGCCTTGATGCCCAGCAAACTTTTTTTTTTTTTTTTTTTTTTTGTAGAGACGTGGTCTTGCTATGTTGCACTGGCTGGTTTCCAACTCCTGGCCTCAAACAATCCTCCTGCCTCAGCCTACCAAAACGCTAGGATTGCAGGGGTGAGCCACCATGCCTGGCCTATTTGAAATGTTTAATTAAAAAGCAAAAAATGAACAAAAAGAATTTGGGCCCACATATATGCAGTTATTTGATTTTCACCAAAGGCACCAAAGCAATTCAATGTGGAAATAGCGTCTTTGCAACAAATGGGTTCAGGAGCAGCTGGATATCCATAGGGGAAAGAAATTAACCTTAATTCCAAACTCATACCATAACAGAAAAATTATATGAAACAGAATTTACACTTAAACAGACAAGCTGAAATTTAGGAGTTTCCAGAATTAAAAAAGACATAGGAGAGTCTTTTTTTTTTTTTTTTTTCTTGGAACAGGGTCTTGCTCTGTTACCCAGACTGGAGTGCAGCACCGAGATCTCTGCTCACTGCAGCCTCCATCTCTCAGGCTCAATCAATACTCTCACCTCAGCCTCCCGAGTACCTACAGAAACCGCAGGTGAACGCCACCACTCCCAGCTAATTTTTGAATGTTCTGTAGAGATGATGTCCCAGTGTTGCCCAGACTGGTCTCAACTCATGAGCTCAAACAATTCGCACACCTCGCCCTCCCAGAGTTCTGGAATTACAGGTGTGAGCCACCACGCCAGACCAGTTCTTTGTTTTTTGTTTCTTGGGGTTTTCTGTTTGTTTATGTGTTTTTTTCTTTGCTCGTTTTTAACGGACAAGATATTTAAAGAGACACTTCACACAGTAAGATAAACACATGAGCCATAAACCCATGAAAGAGTGCCCATCTTTTCTCATCAGCTGAATGCAAACTTAAACCATAAGGAATACTACATACCCATAAATGGCTAGAAGTTAAAAAAGTAATAATCAATGAAAAGTGCCAAATGTTGCCAAGGGTGTAGCCTTCATAACGCTTGCACATTGTTGGTGGGAGGAAATTACCCTAAATGTCCGACAGCAGTGGCTGCTAGGAAAATCTAGAGTTCTACCAAACAATGGAACAATAACAATGGTGTTTTAGGCTACTTCCTCTTTCATTCCACTCCAATTTCTCCAGACCCACGAACTTCAGCTCTACTCACGAACGCGTGTCCTCATATTCCCCAAGCAGCTTCTTCTAAATGTCTCTTCTCTTTGAAAATGGTGCCAGCGCGCCCCTGCTGTTCAACCCCCGTGCCTACTGTTGCTGCCACATCCTCTCTCAAGACTCCCGTGTCCACTTATGCCACCACATTGCACATGAAAACTTCCTTTTCTTGTTTCTTTCTTTTCTCTCTTTCGAGACAAGATCTTGCTCTGTCGCCCAGGCTGGAGTGCAGTGCTGCAATCATAGCTCAGTGCAGTGTGGACCTCCCGGGCTCCAGCCGTCCTCCCGCCTCAGCCTTCCAGGTGCTGAAACGTGCTTTTTTTGTGTGTTCATGCTCATTAACAAAGCTCAAAGGGACGCATGGAGGAAGCTCTGAATTATGATGAGAAATAAAATACCGCCCTGTGTGGTGGCTCATTGTGATGGCACAGGTATCCCATGCAGGTTTCCGTAGTGTAGTGGTTATCACGTTCGCCTCACACGCGAAAGGTCCCCGGTTCGAAACCGGGCGGAAACACCTCCTTCTGCTTTTTACCTCATTATCTCAGATTTGTTACACTGAGGACTTGCCTACAACACTCCACCGCTATCTCCACCTGGTTAAGGAAAAAAGGCTATCAAGGGTATTTATACCTTTGCCTTTCCGCCTCAACCATTGGAACCTGGGACGAACTGAACCCACTTCACTTGCTGTGGACACCAGCGCCGACGAACTTCGCACAAAGCCCGTCCACTGGACAGCTGCGCGCTGCCAAATGGAATCCAGATCCCGAGCAAGGGTGCGGCCCAGGGAGAGTTCCAAGGAACTGGGGGACAAAATGGGCAAACCACAACAAGCTGGCAGCGGTGGGATTCGAACCCACGCCTCCGAAGAGACTGGAGCCTTAATCCAGCGCCTTAGACCGCTCGGCCACGCTACCTTCCTCCGGGGGTTCACCTGCATCTTTTCCTTCCTTATAAAACATCCCCAGGGTTCCCGGGCCAACAAGGCGTTGGGGCGAATCCACAGGGCATCGCAGAACCACCGCCTTCCAGCAGGATTCGCGGGCCAGAGGCACCAGCTGGGAAACGGCTCCACCAGCGCCCCAGCAGAGAAGATTCGCGACGCGCAGGCCTCGGAATTTGCTTTGGGGGCCACTCAGAAAGTCAGAAAGTCACCCACATTGGCCCTCTTTGGGGAGGCGGCGTGAGAGGAGGGGAAGCCTTCTGCACTCTTTACTTTAAAGAAAGATAAAAAAATAAACCAGGGCAGACCCCGTCAGTTCCGGGCCGCGTAGTCCTGCAAAGTCTCACTCTGTGCCCCAGGCTGCAATGACACGATCTTGGCTCACTGCAACCTCCGCCTCCCGGGTTCAAGCAATGCTCCCGCCTCAGCCTCCCAAGTAGCTGAGATCACAGGCGCACACCACCACGCCCGGCTAATTTTTGTATTTTTAGTAGAGACGGGGTTTCACCATGTTGGTTAGGCTGGTCTCGAACTCCTGACCTCATGATCCACCCGTCTCGGCCTCCCAAAGTGCTGGGATTACAGGCGTGAGCCACCGTGCCCGGCCAATAAAAAGTATATTAAACTATCAAGAGAAAAAAATCAACAGGCCAGAAACGTAAGGTCTGTTTCTGCATTCTCAGTTCTGTTCCACTGGTCTATATGCCTATCTGTATGCCAATAACATTCATCTTGATTACTGTAGCTTTATTTTATTTATTTATTTATTTATTTATTTATTTTTTGAGACGGAGTCTCGCTCTGTCGCCCAGGCTGGAGTGCAGTGGCGCGATCTTGGCTCACTGCAAGCTCCGCCTCCCGGGTTCACGCCATTCTCCTGCCTGGTTACCAGAATACCCGTCTCTACTAAAAATGCAAAAACAAAATTGGCCGGGCGTGGTGGCGGGCGCCTGTAGTCCCAGCTACTCCGGAGGCTGAGGCAGGAGAATGGCGTGAACCCGGGGAGTTGGAGCTTGCGGTGAGCAGAGATGGCGCCACTGCACTCCAGCCTGGGCGACAGAGAGAGACTGCGTCTCAAAAAAAATAAATAAATAAAAAAAAGAAAGAAAGAAAAAGAAAAAAGAAAAGAAACTCCTGGGCTCAAGTGATCCTCCTGCCTCAGCCTCCCAAAGTGCTGGGATTACAGGCATGAGCTACTGTGCCCAGTCTGTTTTGTTGTTTAAGATTACTCAAGATTTTTCTACATACAGGATCATTTTTCTCTGCTAATAATGACTGTCTTACTTCTGCTTTTCCTGTCTTGTGCCTTTAGCTTCCTTTTCTCACCTCCAGTACTCCGTGAAATACAAATGGTGAGGGTGATATCCTTGTCATCTTCCAAAGCTTAAGGAGGCTTTTTCACCATAATGTTACTGGAAAGAGGTCCCATTCCAGATTCCAAGAAAGGATTCTTGAATCTCGAGCAAGAAAGAATTTGGAGGCCTGTAATCCCAGCACTTTGAGAGGCTGAGGTGGGTGGATCACCTGAAGTCAGGAGTTCGAGACCAGCCTAATCAACATGGTGAAACCCCATCTCTACTAATAATACAAAAGTCATCCGGTCATGGTGGTGCATGCCTGTAATCCCCACTACTTGGGAGGCTGAGGCCGGAGAATCGCTTGAACCCGGGAAGGCGGAGGTTGCAGTGAGCCGAGATCACACCATTGCCCTCCAACCTGGGTGACAAGAGCAAAACTCCATCTCCCCCCGAAAAAAAGAATTCGGGAAGTTCATAAAGTGAAAGCAAGGTTATTAAGAAAATAAAGGAGGCCGGGCGCGGGGGCTCACGCCTGTAATCCCAGCACTTTGGGAGACCGAGGCAGGTGGATCATGAGGTCAGGAGATCGAGACCATCCTGGCTAACATGGTGAAACCCCGTCTCTACTAAGAATACAAAAAAATTAGCCGGACGTGGTGACAGGCACCTGTAGTCCCAGCTACTCGGGAGGCTGAGGCAGGAGAATCCCTTGAACCTGGGAGGCGGAGGTTGCAGTGAGCCGAGATCGCGCCACTGCACTCCAGCCCGGGCGACAGAGCGAGACTCCTTTCCAAAAAAAAAAAAAAAAAAAAAGAAAAGAAAAAAGAAAGAAAGAAAATAAAGGAATAAAAGAATGGCTACTCCACAGGGAGAACAGCCCCCAACGGCTGCTGTTGTCCATTTTTATAGCTGTTTCTTGATTATATGCTAAACAAGGGGTGGATTATTCATCAGTTTTCCAGGAAAGGGGTGGGCAATTCTTAGAACTGGGGGTTCCTTCTTGTTTTAGACCATATAGGGTAACTTCCTGGCATTGCCATGGCATCTGTAAACTGTCATGGTGCTGGTGGGAGTGTCTTTAGCATGCTAATACATTATAATTAGCATGTAATGAGCAGTGAGGATGACCAGAGGTAGCTTTTATCCCCATCTTGGTTTTGATGGGATTTGGCCGGCTTCTGCACTGCATGCTGTCTTATCACCAAGGTCTTTATGACCTGTATCTTGGGCTGACCTATCTTATCCTGTAACTTAGAATACCAGACTTACTAGGAATGCAGCCTAGTAGGTCTCAGCCTTTTTTTATTTAAACAGCCCTTATACAAGATGGAGTCACTCTGGTTTAAATGCCTCTGACAATAAGAATAATGTTCACTATAAGTCTGCTGTAAATGTACTTTATCAAATTGAGGAATTTTCCTTCTATTCTTAGTTTTTTAATTTCTTTTTTGTCATAAAAAACATGACTTTGCCAAATGCGTTTCTGTGTCTATTACAATGATCTTGTGGGCTGGGTTGTAGGGATGGCGGAGAAATGGGGAGACGTTGGGCAAAGGCTATGAAGTTTCAGGTAGACTGGATGGAAAAGTTCTAAAGAGCTATTGTATAGCATAGTGACTACAGGTAATAATACTGTGTTGTATTCTCAATGAAAAGAGTCAGGCGCCTGCCTGTAATCTCAGCTACTCAGGATTGCTAAGGCAGGAGAATCGCTTCAACCCGGGAGGTGGAGGTTTCAGTGAGCCGCGATCGCGCCACTGCACTCCAGCCTGGGTGACAGAGTAAGACTCCTTCTCAAAAAAAAAAAAAAAAAAAAAAATGGAGTTCGTAAGTTCATTTTGAATGAATACCTGGCATGTAGAAGGTGCTTAAACAAAGAGCAGATAACATTTAAAAAGCATCAGGAATATTCTTATAG